>NT_167249.2:1745110-1837334 GCF_000001405.40 Homo sapiens
GGCCGCGTCCCCGCCGGCCCTGCAGACGTGGCGGGGCGGGACCCGCTGGGCACTCCCGCGCGTACTCGGCCAAATATCTGGGCTCCTTCGTGACCCAGTCATGTTGAGAAATCAAATTAATCATCACAAGGAACAAATCAGATAATATTCACTTGGATATTAGACTAGAGCCTTGGACATACCAAGTGCTCTGTAAATGTTAGCCTTACAAATGTAAGGTGGTGTTTTAGATTTACAGAACACAGTATATCCTAAGGTATCACAGGCTTGTTGATGAACTCTGTTGGGAAAAATAATACATGGGAAATTTAGTTGTGGAAATTGAATTTTGTTATTTTATTTTTGTCTTTGCTTTTCTGTGTGAGTGAAGGAGTATAAGGCAAATTTCTGAGCACATGGGGCATGCACTAAAGGGGTTTCATTTGGCATTTGGAGCCAGTTTTGTCACACTATAGGAAAACTAAACCATTATTTAAGAACTTCCCTGCCAGCTCTCAGGTTGGGGACTGGCTGGTCCATCTAGCCTGGTTGGTTGATTCCAAAAATATGTGTAGGGAGGTAGAGTGACTAAACGTGAAGAATGGGGAACTCTGGAAGTGCAGAATTGAAGCCCAGAAGGGAACAGAAGCCTCCCTCTACTTCACAGAAGATGACTAGGAGATGCTCATCCCTGGGATAGAAAATCCATTGGACTTGGAGACTCAGTGAGTTGTATTCCCGATCTCACCACTGGAGGGAGGTGGGAGAGGCATATGAGTGAGTGTGGAAGGGCTCAGAAGCCCAGCCAGCTAGTGTGCAGGTTGCCCTGCAGATTCTCACCAGGGCTGCTCTGAAGCCCAGAGGGCACCCCAGAGGAGGAAGGGAATGACAAAGCCTGCCTGGGGTCACAGGAAAAGAGGAGAGAGGCAGACTGAAGGAAGCCCAAGACTACAAAGTGAAAGAAAATGCCTTTTAGTCACTCAAGACATTGTCAGACACAGACTGGGAGCAGTGGCTCACACCTATAATATTAGCACTATGGTAGGCTGAGGTGAGGCCGGGAGTTCAAGACCAGCCTGGACAACAATGCAAGACCCTATCTCTACAAGAAATAAATTAATAAAAGACTTCTTCGGACATGACTAGAACCCAAGAGGTGGGTACCTGGTAGAGTTATATGGGAAGAATGGAGCAATGGGTTTGGCAGTTGGGGTGGGGAAACAGGGAGGAAGGGAATGAAAAAAACTCTTGAGGGTAGATGATGGTGCCAGTCTGAGAATCAAGCACCAGTTCCATTCTACTGTGCATCTAGTCACGTTGGCATAGACTTCCAGGCAGGAGGAGGAGCAAGCGGTGGGATCAGCTACATGTGGGCTTCCAAAGGTAATCCCAGGTGCCACCTCTCCTCCATACTTACTAGGAATCCCAGGCCCTTCCCTGAAGTGACACCATCCTGCATTCTTTGTACCTCTCTTTCCACTTCTTCTCACAGCTTTTCCCTCTCCTCCATTCTCCTGGCCAGGACCCACACTCACCCCACCTAACCTCTCTCTTTTGATCAGTCCCATAGTTCAGAAAGGAACAGAAATGCCAGCTGAATAAAAATTTATTTCATGCTCTCTGGGCATGTATTTGAGAACAATAACATTGTTTCCGGTCTCAATGCACTTTCACCACATCTGATTTTCAGCTATGTGGGGAAGGCCATCTATCTGATCAACCCATCACCCAGTGAAGGAAACTGAGGCCCAGAGCCCTGAGGATGCTTGCCCAAATCACCCTGCCCTTCAGCTAAATCACCCAGAACAGGATCTTGCAAGGGCCCTAAGAGTCAGAGAAGACAGCAGCCCCTCGTGTTGGATTCTCCTGCCTGCCCAGGAAACTGGGTGGGAACCATTCAGATTCTTCCTGCATGAAAAGGGTGACCTGTGTCCTTGGGGATCCTCCAGTGGCCCTAGTTGCTCCTGCTGGGGATGACCTCAACTCCTGAATCCAACCCTGTAAAATAAGAAGAAATTCAGACATTGCAAGGCATGAAAAATTTTCTCCCAATAGCAAAGTTGAAGGATGTACTCAGAGAGGAGGGAACATACCAAGAAGAGAAGGAAGGAATATATATTAAAAAGAATACAAAACAAAAATAAACAGACCAAGACGTGGGATGTATAGAATCAGGCATCAACCCATGAAAAGGTGAAAAGGTGAAAAGGCAACAGGACCAGAAAAGAAGAGGGTCGCCTGGGTGGGTGGACAGCACAGCAGAGGGGACGCCATCTCCAAGAAGATGACCTTGACAAGAGCCACCATAAGTTTAAAGGTAT
This sequence comes from Homo sapiens, assembly GCF_000001405.40. Taxonomy (NCBI): domain Eukaryota; kingdom Metazoa; phylum Chordata; class Mammalia; order Primates; family Hominidae; genus Homo; species Homo sapiens. The sequence goes on from NT_167249.2 coordinate 1,747,411, forward strand.
GGAGAAGACATTTACTCAACTAAGGGACAGTTGGTGAATTCATTTGTTAAGGTTCATGGAAAGTAAGAAAATGAAAATGCCGGGCAATTATCAATTCTCTGAAAACATCAACATGTATGGAAAGAAAAACTAAGAGAGTTTACCATGTGGCTCAGGTCTGAGTAGCAGTCACATAAGTCAGTAATTTTAACTCTGGCTCTCAATGCACTCAAAATCTCCACCTGCCTACATGAGGAGGATGAAAATGTGTGTGCTGGGGAAGGTACTATGGACTGAAGGGATTTTGAAAAGTCAATACTTAATATCTAAAATGGAAATGTTTGAAGTGGCATAAATGTATATTATCAAGAGACATAAAGATAAAGAACAACATATGAAGTAAAAGGCTTCTATGTAGTTGTTTGCCAGGAAGCTGGTGGCTAGGAAGGATTGAGAGGGAGTAGAGGGGAGACCATGTTTTGGAACAGGGGAAATGAAAGGGAAGCAGGTAGCACCTGGAGCCTGCCTCATGCAGAGAACAGGGTTCCACGCAGTGGTCCAGGATCTCAGGGACTTACTGTGGCTGAGGCCACCTGCCCCCAGGACAAGCCCTTGGCACTGAGTCTACTGAAATGTGGGCAGGGAGAAGAGGAGGCCTTCGGACCTTTTACCTGAGCAGCCTGGTTTACTCTAGGCTCTGTCTTGTTTCCTGTCCAGAGATTAATGTAACAAACTGTCTCCAAATTCATCCAAGGGAGTGGAGTTCCTTCCCGTACTCCCGATCCCCCTCAACACCATCCTTTCTGGAAGTGTTATTCTGAACATGTTCTCGGATTTGTTTTTATCAGTGGAGAAAGAGAGGATAGAAGAGCACTCACCCAGCAGAGCCAGAGGGAGGCAGCTCCAAGGACTCCAGTGGCCACCAGAGCCCACCAGGACCCAGGGCTGGAGGTGCATAGTGAGATCCTCAGTGCAGAGGGAGAAATCTCCTAAGGGTAGGAAGGAATAACAGAATTGGGGAGCATTTCCTTACTTCACAGCAAGTGCAAACATGATGGGAAGGCATAGAGAAAAAGGAAGAAATTATAGGGAAATGTGCTTATTTAGGGGGAGGCAATACTGCGGGAGGGGTACAACAGACCCAGCACTGGTGGGGGCTAGGAGAAACAGGTATAATCCTTGACTAGAGAATGGATACTTGAGGTCAGAATAGTTACTAAATGAAGAGGATTACATACATTTTAAGGACGTTGATTTACGTTATACTTTGTCATTGGAATTTAAGGGAAAAGAAAGGAAATTAATAAATAAAAACAGGCTGCATGTGGTAAAATCAATAGTCAGCCCTGGGACTTGTGTTTGCAAAATGCTTTATCCAGGTGCGACACCGCTGATGTCCTGGATTCCCCACCCTCTAGCACCCAGTTCCCTCTCCTGTAATGAGACCGGGGTCAGGAGGAGAGATGGACAGGTGAGCCCATGCTGAAGGCAGTCAGTCATCTGTGCCTGCAGATGAGAAACTGCAGTTTGCACCACTAGCCTCCAGCACAGAGATTCCATCCCAGCTCAGTATTTAGTATTTAGAGATGTAGTATTTAGTATTTAGAGATTCCTAAACACTGAGGGCTCTGCCCAGTCTCCTTCCTCACACTGTGGGGCCTTGGCTTTCCCTCCCAACTCCACACCCCCAAATGCTGGTACAATGCTCAGGTTCATCCTGGACACCGCTCCATCCGACAGGGGAACACTTTTGATCCAGCCGCTTTGACAACCTCGTTCAGTCTCCTCTGGAGAGAGCCACCAAACCCTTTGCTGATGAGCTGAGACTGACCGGGGAACTGTGATCTCGAATGTGGTTGAGGATCAAAATCAAAATTATAGTCGACTCTTAAAGACCAAGTAGGCTCTAACCACGGAATTCCTCTCTACCCACTGATTCCCCCAAAAGAGGAAGAAGCCTCTTCTCTAAGTACACTAAGCTGAAAAACTAAGCTGAAGTACTAAGTACATTCAGCTTTCACTAAGCTGAAACAGCAAAGCGCTGAAACAGCAAACCGCAGGCATAACAGAAAAACCTCAACTTAAATAGTGCTGAGCTGCAACTTGTTTTCCGCGGCTTGTAGTCGAGGAGGAGCCCACGAGGCTTTAGCTGCTGCAAGATCCAAGCGCGCTCCCGCCCAGCGGTGGCCCCAGGCTCAGGGAACAAGCGCTGCTTCTCTCCGAGGCTCGCGGCCTGAGAAACCTTCCGCTCCGAATGCGGGCTGGCCTCTCCGGGAAGCCTTGAAACTCAACTCCCGGGTGGGCCAGGAAGGTTGTCCGAGTTGGGCAGCGCCGGCCGGAGCCTTCTTCAAAGCCGAGCTGCTCGCCTCCCTCGAGGCCCAGCGCAGCCTGGAGGAGAGACCGGGTCCTCTCAGGTGGGGCCCTTGGTGACTGGCGACCCCATGAGCACCCACCCTCCAGCCTGGGGCGGGATAGCCCAATCGGATGCTGGGGGGTCCGTTTGGAAACCACTCTCTGCTTTGAGAACACGCGCGGAGCTTCCCTGGGAGCAGGAGGCTCTGAAGGAAGAGGGGCAGACGCGAAGCCTCTGGCCAGCCGCGCCTCCGGTCCAGGCCTCCCTGTGTCCACATCAGGTCTCCCGGCTCTTCACAACAGTGACCTTGACAGCGCCGAGAGTCCGCGGCTTCCATCCAGTCCCCTCTTCCCCTGCGTGGCCGAGAGGGTGCAGAGCTGGTGGCTTCAGGAGGTGGCTGTGAGCGCGGGTCTGGGGCCAAGAGCAGAGGACAGGAGAAGACTGCCAAGCCACCACCGGTCCTGCGACATATTCACCGGCTGCCGGCGGCGAGGTCAGGCCCCAGATTCGGGTTTGCCCAGCAGGCGCTCGGCGTCCATGCTCGCTCTCCACCTCCCTGCCTCTCTTAAGGAGGACCTGGCCCATTAGGAAGCCCGGGGCGTTCTGTGGACTGGGTGGTCAAAAATGGTGTGTGGAGGAGGGAGTCAATTGAGATTAGACGTGAAAAACGGGGAACCTGGGGACTGCAGGTTGGGGCCCAGGAGAGGACCGAAGCTTCCATCCAAGACTAAGTGAGGAACACTGCGGCAAGAGGAAGGAAGATTGAGTCGCAATTGACTTGTGGATTTTATCGGTTTTAGTCCCTGTGTGACCGCCAGAAGTCTGCAGCTTTATCCTTGGTGAGTTCTGAAGGCCCCTGAGGAGAGCTGAGCCCAAGATACTTTTTAATTCCACGGAGGTACTTCGCCTGAGGCAGGTCTCCTCTGTGCCCAGGGAAGGAAGGCTGGGAGTGAGGGTATCTGAAAATATTCACATGAGAAAAGGTCAAGTCCATTTTTGCTATCCTGTACTGAACACAGATCAATTAACTGGTCCCAGGATTGATAGCAACAGGCCTATAACTGGTCTCCTGGTTCCTATCCAGCCCTTCCCCCATAAAGTCAGAATCCTGTCTTCTTGCAACAGTGAATCCCCAGCAGAGGACCTCAGCCTGGGCTGCCTGGAACCTGCTACCCTGCCCAGGAGCTGTCAACACCTGGAGTGCAGTGCAGGAAGAATGCAGGGGCGCTTGGTGGGGAGGTGAGTGAGTGCAGAGGGTTTCCGGGAACTCCTTGGGCCTTTGGGGTAGCTCCCTCTCAGGCTGTCCTGCAGGTCCTTACAAGGCCCACTACTGAGCAGGCCGAATGTCCCCAGGAGAGGCAAGGGGTGGGGCAAAGGCGGGTATGGGGTCGCTTGCACTTTGCAGCAAACTGGAGAGTGAGATGACAGGCAAGGAGTACTGGCCCTCACATGGAAACCTACAGCACACTGCCCAAAGGGAATAGGAAAGGAACCACAGCGAGGTCCACAGGGGAGGGCTGGGGGGAGCCTTACCCAGGGCGGCGAGTGCAGCTTCAGTGGCAGAAATCCCAGCGGGCCCCCTCCTGCTGCAGACCCCGCTCCTCCTGCGAGGCCCCAGACGAAGCCCGACCCCCAGCTGCCTGCGCAGCCTCCAGGCAGGGGTCGCGGGGTGCTTCGGCGAGAGAGTCTGGGCCAAAGCGCCAAAATCCGCCGCTGTCGCTCAGCCGCAGCCTGTTTGGGGCTGGGGAGCCTCTCCTGGTCGGTGATCGTCGCGGACAATAGACGAGACCAGAAATTAGATTTGGTTCCGGGATCAAGAAACTTTAATCAGGGAATGGAGATGGCAGGGGACGAGGCCTAAGAGATGTAGACAGCAGGTCCTGTCTGCTTAGGTCGCAAAGGGGAAGAAGGGGCGGGACTCGGGGTCCTGGACTGGGGCTGGGAAGGGTCCGCTCCAGGAGGGTGTGGGTTCCGATGCCTGGGTCCTGGAGGTCCGGGGAGTCGCGGAGGGACCTCCCTCCGGTAACCGAGGGATTGGGGGCAAATGCTCGGCCCAGTCTGATCCCAGACATCCTTGTAACCCAATATAGTTACAGCTCCGACGCCATGTTCTTCCTGGGTCCAGCTCCAACGCCATGTCCTTCCTGGGTCCCTCCAAAGTAGGGTTGGAGGATCAACTAGTGGATTCCGGCGAGGAGGTATCTTCCTCCCTGGAAGCAGCAGAACAAATTTCAGGGACTCGGGAGTCCAAGGCCTCATTCCAAAAACACTGAGAGATTGGGTACTGGGCGCACAGTATGTCTGTGGGGTTACGCAGACCTGGGAACCAGATCTTAGGGCCTGCAGACCTCCCTCTGCCTTGAGATCAGACTCCACCGCCAGTAACTGGGAGGAAACATCTGTACTCCAGGATTTGGAGACACCGACACGGGAGCAGGGCGCCCCCGTGTGCACAGAGCCCTGTTCTGTGGCTGGAAACCGAACGGGACCCTGTAGAAGTCGCGGGTGGGGAAGCGAAAGGGGAGCTGAGTGTCTGTCCTCAGTCCTTGGGCCACACGGGGGCGCTGCCGCTCTGCGCTCGGGTTCTAATGAGCCGCTCTGGAGAGGACCGGGCGGTGGTCTGAGTAAGACACAGATTGTTGATCCAGAAAGGATGTATCAATGAGGTGGGGCTGGGGTTGTCCAGGGGGTGGAAAGGCCTTCTGAGAAGCCCTGGACTGCGCGGGGTTCCGGCTCTGCGGAACAGAGGAGGGCTCTGGAGCGGCCTGTCTCTGAGGTTTCCAACTCCTCCTTGCAAACCCTCCCTCCAGCCTTTTCATGGCAACACTCCAGGAAAATGGACAGTTGATCATTTTTTCTTCCACTCCTTAATCCTCTCCTGACTGCTACTTTTAAATAATTTTATTTTAGAAGAGTTTTAAATTTACATAAAAGTTGCAATGGTAGTACAGAGTTGCCATCCGCTCCACAGTCAGTTTCCCCTGGTGTTAACATCTCTCATTACTATGGTCCATTTGTCACAGCTAATGAAGCCATTTTCATACCTTATTATTACTAAACTGCAGACTTTATTTGGAGTTCATTAGCGTTCCCCTAATGTCCTTTCTGTGTTTCAGGATTCCATGGAGAATATCACACTACATTTAGTCTCCGTCGTGCCTCCGCGGCATCCTCTGGTCTGTGACAATTCCTGAGATTTTCCTAATTTTTGATGCCCTTCACAATATTGGGAAGTACTGACCAGATATATTGTAAAATGTCCCTCAAACTGAATTTAGTTGGGGTGTAGATCATGGTTAGACTATGGTTATGGTTGTTTAGATGAGGTGAAGTGCTATTCTCCAAACACCTTATCAAGGTTATAGAATATCAATTTCATGTACCACTGTTGATATTGAAGTTGATCACCTGGTATATTAGCTTCCTGTAGCTGCCACAACAAATGCCCTCAAAGTTGGCAACTTACAACAACAGAAAATTATTCTTTCACAGTTCTGGAGGCCCAAACTGCAAAATCAATATGCAGGGCCTCACTCCCTCTGAAGGCTCTAAGAGCAAATCCATTCCTTGAGTCCTCCAGCTCTGGCAGCTGCAGGGCATTGGTCAGCGTTCTTTGGCTTGTAGCCCCATTGCTCCAGTCTCTGCCTCCTTCTTCACATCACCTTCTCCTCTTCTGACTCTCTCTTCTGTGTACCTGTTAGAAAGACACTTGTCATTGGATCTAGAGCCCACCTGGGTCATCTAGGAGGATCTCCTGATTTCAATATCCTCAGCTTAATTACATTTGCAAAGACCCTTTTTTTCCAAACAACTTGACATTCACAGCTTCTGGGCACTAGGACAGAAACATATCTTTGCGGGGACCACCATTCAACCCACTACATCTGGCTAAGCTAATATTTCCAGAATGGCAATCCATCAGTGCACCCTAGGTTACAATCCTCATTCTCATTCCCAAATAAACTCAACATATTTGGACATTTCTAATGTCATGTTTTTTAGGTTGAATAATCTAGTGTCAGAAATGATGCTGAAGAAAGATTATCTTTGGAAGAGACTTATACTGAGTTTGTTGCTTGATTTTTCCTCTGCTTCTGAACATCTTTTGAGAGCAAAATTTACTTTCTAAAATGGTGAGGATGAGTCAACTCCTTAAAAGCTGTTTGGGCTGTTGTCACCATTCTATGTGAGACTTCAGTCTCCCCAAAGAGAAATTTTTTGTTGTCAGGATAAAGTGGTACATGAATAAACAAGATTGCCATTAGGCAGCATGCCAGTCTCAGGAAAATTCTGGAGAAAATGGTGACAGGATAGACAATTAGATCACAGGCTGCCTGCACATCAAGTAAAAACAAAAATCCTATGCTAGGCACACTATTAAAAAACAAATCGCTCCAACCCCTACCATTTCCTCACAGGGATTATAGAATTTTTCTTTTGCTGTTGAGAAATTAATAAGAGGCAGAACAGGATGCCAAAACTCCAAAACATCCAATATAGGCCCTCTTCTGGGATTCCTGTCAGCTATATGTTCAAAAATTATGGTCAGTGGCTCATGCCTGTAATCCCAGCACCTTGGGAGGCCAAGGTGGAAAGATCACTTAAGCTCATGAGTTTGAAACCATCCTGGGCAACATAGCAAGAGTTCATCTATATTTTAAAAAATTAAGGCCGGTCGTGGTGACTCACGCCTGTAATCCCAGCATTTTGGGAGGCCCAGGCAAGCGGATCGCCTGAATTTGGGAGTTGGAAGCCAACCTGACCAACATGGAGAAACCCCGTGTCTAATAAAAATACAAATTCAGCCAGATGTGGTAGCGCATACCTGTAATCCCAGCTACTCGGGAGGCTGCGGCAGGAGTACAGCTTGAACTCGGGAGGCAGATGTTGCAGTGAGCCGAGATCATGCCATTGCACTCCAGCATGGGAGAAAAGAGGGAAACTTCATGTCAAAAATAAAAATAAAAATAAATAAGAAAAGAAAAAGATTAAGGTCGTCTCTTGTGTACTTTTTAAAATCAACGGATAGAGTATAGCAAAGTTAATTTGGATCTTCAGTGGCCATCCTTGGGGTCTTTTGAGTTCCCCAAACTTGTCTTTCTTAAAACTAAACTAGGCCGGACGCGGTGGCTCACGCCGGTAATCCCAGCACTTTGGGAAGTCGAGGCGGACAGTTCACGAGGTCAGGAGATTGAGACCATCCTGGCTTGCAAGGTGAAACCTCATCTCTACTAAAAACACAAAAAATTAGCTGAGCATGGTGGCAGGTGCCTGTAGTCCCAGCTACTCTGGGAGGCTGAGGCAGGAGAATGGTGTGAATCCGGGAGGCGGAGCTTGCAGTGAGCCCAGATCCAGCCACTGCACTACAGCCTGCCGACAGAGTGAGACTCCATCTTAAAAAAAAAAAAAGAAAAGAAAAGAAAAAAGAAAGAAATTTCTGCATTACCTATGGATGTTAAATCTACTTGAGTAGACTTTAATTCCAAGTTTGTGAATAGCTTTTCTTCAAAACATGCTGAACTTGGTAAAAGAGCCAGCAATTTAGGGAAACTATGTGCACTTCTGATCTTGTCCATTTGACAAATCACCTGCCTGTCCCCTTGAGGACCCTACTAAGAAAACTGCTTAAAAACTTTTTTTTAATTTTTTCTTTTTGAGATGAAGTCTCACTCTGTCACCAGGCTGGAGTGCAGTGGTGCAGTCTCGACTCACTGAAACCTCCACCTCCTGGGTTCAAGCAATTATCCTGCCTCAGCCTCCCGAGTAGCTGGGATTACAGGTGCCCACCACCATGCCCAGCTAATTTTTTGTATTTTTAGTAGAGACGAGGCTTCACCATGTTGGCCAGGCTGATCTTGAATTCCTGACCTCAGGAATCCCTGACTCTCCAAATGTCCCCACTTGTTATGTCATTCCCACTGACAAAACAAAAATAATGCTATCTTGTGTTAGGCTGTTCTTGCATTGCTATAAAGAATACATGAGACTGGGTAATTTATAAAGAAAAATGAGTTTAATTGGCTCACAGTTCTGCAGGCTTTATGGGAAGCACGGTGCTGGGCATCTGATCAGCTTCTGATGAGGTCGCAGGAAGCTTACCATCATGGCAGAAGGCAATAGGGGAGCAGGCAAGTCACATAGCAAAAGCAGGAACAAGAGAGAGTGGGAGGGGAAGGATGCCACACACTTTTAAACAACCAGCTCTCACTATTTCAAAGACAGCACCAAGGGGACGGTGCTAAACCATTCCTGAGAAATGTACCCCCATGATCCAATCACCTCCCACCAAGACCCACCTCCAACACTGGGGATTACAATTCAACATGAAATTGGGGTGGGGACAAATATACAAACTATATCACACCCTTTCACTGCTGAATCTAATACCTGTCTCTGTATAGGCAAAACTGTTGATATTGGCAAACTTTATAATATACCTCCTATAAAAATCCAGCTTGATCCATCAAAACCCCTGCCTAATATCAAACAATATCCACTTAAACCAGATGGTGTTATAAGTCATTAAACCTATTACAGAAGGACATAAAAAGCAAGGCCTCATTATTCCATGTACTCATCCTTCTAACACCCTAATTTTACCTATTAAAAACCAAACAACTGGGATTAAAGGTTTGCTCAGGAATTCTGAGCAATAAACTATATAGTGATTCCAAGACATCAGTGGTTCCAAATCCCTATATCTCATTAAACTCACAACCTATTGATAGGAGGTTTTTCACTGTCATTGATCTATGAAGTGCATTCTTCAGTAATCCAGTGGATCAGGCCAGCCAGTATCTTTTTGCCTTTACCTTGGAAGGCCAACAATTCACCTGGACAGTAATGCCTCTTGCTTTTACTGAAAACCCTTCCTGTGTTTTTCAAATATTAAAGGAACACTTGGAGGAGATAGTTTCTCCTTAAGGTTCCACCTTACTACAATATATAGATGGCCGCCTTCTTTGCTCTGCTTCACAGAGAGCCTATGAAAAAAATGGTGTACAACTGTTAAAGCAACTGACTGCTGAAGATCATGAAGTCTCTGACGAAAAATTGCAGCTAGTGAAAACTCAGAAGAAATATTTGGGACACTTAACTTCAGAAAATGGATTACATTTAGACCCAGATTTGCACTTTGTAATTTCTTCAGTCAAGAACCAAGTGCCACAGAAAAACACAGAATATTATAATGCTGTATTTGTGGTGTGTAAACTACTCGTGTCTTAAGTAGAAAGCATAAAAGGTGAACCAATAAAAAATAATAACTACAAGACTTTTCAACACATAGACGGTACAAAGCCAGCTGCTGTGGCTCATGCCTGTAATCCCAGGACTTTGAGAGGCTGAAGTGAACAGATCATTTGAACTCAGGAGTTTCAGACCAGCCTGGGCAACATGGCAAAACCCAGTCTCTTTTAAAAAATGGAAAAAATTAGCTGGTTATGGTGGCATGTGTCTGTGGTACCACCTACTTAGGAGGCTGAGGTGAAAGGATTGCTTGTGCTTCAGAGGCAGAGGTTGCAGTGAGCTGAGATTGTGACACTGCACTCCAGGCTGGGTGACAGAGTGAGATCCTCATCTAAAAAAAGACATAGATGGTATAAGAAGATATAAATAGAAACAACAAAAAGTTAAAAAGAAAGAGGATGGAGTTAAAGTGTGAATTTTTATTACATATCTTTCGGTTTTTGTTTATACAAGCAGTGTTAAGTTTTTATCAGATTAAAATAATGATTATAAGATATCTTCAAGCAGCCTGGTGATCTCAAATCATAAAAAATGCAACAGATATACAAAAAATAAACAACAGGAAATTAAATCATATCACCAGAGAATCACCTTCACTAAAAGGAAGACATAAAGGAAGGAAAGAAGGAAGAGAAAACAAGCAAAACAACGAGAAAACAAATAAGAAAATGTCCTTCTTTATCAATAATAACACTGAATGTAAATGGTCTAAACTCTCCAATCAAAAGAAATGGAGTGGTGGAATGAATAAAAAAAAAATAAAAAATAAAAAAATAAACAACCAAAGGACCCAATGATCTGTTGCCTACAAGAAACACACTCACCTATAAACACACACATAGACTGAAAATAAAGGGATGGAAAAAGATCGGTCATGCCAATGGAAATCAAAAAAGTGCAGGAGTAGCTATACCTATATCAGACAAAATAGATTTTAAGATAAAAACTATAAGAAGAGACAAAGAAGGTCACTATATAATGATAAAGGGGTCAATTCAGTAAGATGCTATAACAACTATAAATATACATACCCCAACACTGGAGCACCCAGCTGTATAAAGCAATTATTATTAGAGCTAAAGAGAGAGATAGATCTCAGTACAATCATAGCCAGAGACTTCAGCAGCCCCCGTTTCAGCATAGGACAGATCATTTAGACAGAAAAGCACCAAAGAAACATTGAACTTGATCTGCACTATACATTAAATGGATCTAATAGATATTTACAGCATATTTCATCCAAGAGCTGCAGAATACACATATTTCTTCTCAGGACATGGATCATTCTCAAAGACAGGCCAAATATTTGGTCACAAAACAAGTCTTAGAACATTCAAAAAATTGAAATAATATCAAACATCTTCTCTGACAACAATGGAATAAAACTGGAAATTAATAACAAGAGGAATTTTGGAAACTATACAAACACATAGAAATTAAACAATATGCTCCTGAATGCCTGGTGGGTCAATGAAGACATTAGGAAAGAAATTTAAAAATTTTTTAGGGAGAGGGGTGGAGCAAGATGGCTAGATAGAAGACTTCACTAACCGTCCCCCTGCAACAAAGATACCAATCTAACAACTATCTACATTTAAAAAAAGACAAAATCACCTTCACTAGAAACAAAAGTTATGTGAGCATTCACAAAACCTGGTTTTTAACTTCATATAACTGAAAGAAACACTGAGAAGGGTAGGATGTTGTCCCGAATTGCCAATGCCGCCCCGGCCCCATCCTCCAGCAGCAGCCCTGCAGTGTGGAGAATCATGCACTTGGGAGAGGGAGAACACAGCGATTGTGACACATTGCGTTGAACTCAGTGGTGCCCTGATATAGAGTTATATTGGAAGAATGGAGCAATGAGTTTGGTGGTTGGGGTGGGGAAACAGGGAGGAAGGGAATGAAACAAACACTCGAGGGTAGAAGATGGTACCAGTCTGAGAATCAGGTGCCAGTTCTTTTCTACTGTGTGTCTAGTCACATTGGTGTAGACGTCCAGGCAGGAGGAGAAGCAAGTTGTGGGATCAGCTACATCTGGGCTTCCAAAGGTAATCCCAGGTGCCACCTCTCCTCCATACTTACTAGGAATCCCAGGCCCTTCCCTGAAGTGACACCATCCTGCATCCTTTGTACCCCGCTTTCCACTTCTTCTCACAGCCTTTCCCTCCCTCCCTCCTTCATTCTCCTGGCCAGGACCCACACTCACCCCACCTAACCTCTCTCTTTTGATCAGTCCCATAGTTTAGAAAAGAACAGAAATGCCAGCTGTGGTCAGGTGTTTTAAAAATTTATTCAGTGCTCTCTGGGCATGCATTTCAGGACAATAACATTGTTTCTGGTCTCAATGCACTTTCACCACATCTGATTTTCAACTATGTGAGTTAGGACACCTATATGGTCAATCAATCAACCAGGGAAAGAAACTAAGGTCCAGAGCCCTAAGGATGCTTGCCCAAATCACCCTGATTTGGGCAGAACAGGATCTTCCAAGGGCCTTAAGAGTCAGAGAAGACCGCAGCCCCTTGTGTTGTATTCTGCTGCATGCGGGGGAAACTGGATGGAAACGATTCAGATTCTTCCTGCATGAAAAGGGCAACCTGTGCCCTTGGGGATCCTCCAGTGGCCCCAGTTGTTCCTGCTGGGTGTGACATCGATGCCCGAATCCAACCCTGTAAAATAGGGTGAAATTCAGATATTGCAAGGCATGAAAAATTTTCTCCTGATAGCAAAGTTGAAGGATAACAAAACTGAAGGAGGGAACATACCAAACAGAGGAGGAAGGAATATACAAAAAATAACAACAACAACAACATCAACCAACAACAAGAACAAAAAAAATACCAAGATATGGGATGTATGAAATCAGGCATCAACCCATGAAAAGGTGAAAGGGCAACAGGACCAGAAAGGAAGAGGGTCACCTGGGTGGGTGGACAGCAGAGGGGAAGCCATCTCCAAGAAGATGACCTTGACAACAGCCAACATAAGTTTAAAGGTATTGAGAAGACATTTACTCAACTAAGGAACAGTTGGTGAATTCATTTAAGGTTCACGGAAAGTAAGAAAATGAAAATACTAGGCAATGATCAAATCTTGAAAACTTCAGCATGTGTGGAAAGAAAAACTAAGAGAGTTTACCATGTGGCTCAGGTCTGAGTAGCATTCACGTAAGTCAGTAATTTTAACTCTGGCTCTCAATGCACTCAAAATCTCCACCTGCCTACACGAGGAGGATGAAAATGTGTGTGCTGGGGAAGGTACTATGGACAGAAGGGATATTGAAAAGTCAATACATAATATCTAAAATGGAAACATTTGAAGTGGCATAAATGTATATTATCAAGAGACATAAAGATAAAGAACAAAATATGAAGTAAAAGGCTTCCATGTGGTTGCTTGCCAGGAAGCTGGTGGCTAGGAAGGATTGAGAGAGAGTAGAGGGGAGACCATGTTTTGTAACAGGGGAAATGAAAGGGAAGCAGGTAGCACCTGGAGCCTGCCTCATGCAGAGAACAGGGTTCCACGCAGTGGTCCAGGATCTCAGGGATTTACTGTGGCTGAGGCCACCTGTCCCCAGGACAAGCCCTTGGCACTGAGTCTACTGAAATGTGAGGAGGGAGAAGAGGAGGCCTTCAGATATTTGACCTGAGCAGCCTGGCTTACTCTAGACTCTGTCTTGGCTCCTGGCCAGAGATTAATGTAGCAAATTGTCTCTAAATTCATCCAAGGGAGTGGAGTTCCTTCCCCTACTCCTTATCCCCTTCCACACCATCCTTTCTGGAAGTGTTATTGTGAACATGTTCTCGGATTTGTTTTTATCAGTGGAGAAACAGAAGACAGAAGAGCACTCACCCAGCAGAGCCAGAGGGAGGCAGTTCCAAAGACTCCAGTGGCCACCAGAGCCCACCAGGACCCAGGGCTGGAGGTGCACAGTGAGATCCTCAGCGCAGAGGGAGAAATCTCCTAAGAGTAGGAAGGAATAACAGAATTAGGAAGCGTTTCCTTACTTCACAGTGAGTGCAAACATGATGGGAAGGCATAGAGAAAAAGTAAGAAATTATAGGGAAACGTGCTTATTTAGGGGGAGGCGATACTGCGGGAGGGGTACACCAGACCCAGCACTGCCGTGGGGTAGGAGAAACAGGTATAACCCTTGACTAGAGAATGGATACTTGAGGATCAGTATAGTCACTAGATGAAGAGGACTACATACATTTTAAGGACATTGATGTACATTATAGTGTATCATTGGAAGTTAAGGGAAAAGAAAAGAAACTTCATAAATAAAAACAGGCTGCATGTGGTAAAATCAATAATCAGCCCTGGGACTTGTGTTTTCAAAACGCTTTATCCAGGTGTGACACCTCTGACATCCTGGATTCCCCACCCTCTAGCACCCAGTTCCCTCTCCTGTAATGAGACCAGGGTCAGGAGGAGAGATGGACAGATGGGCCCATGCTGAAGGCAGTCAGTCACCTGTGCCTGCAGATGAGAAACCGCCGCCTAACCTTTCTGAACCTCATGCGGAAAAAATGTTTGCACCAGTAGCCTCCAGCACAGAGATTCCATCCCAGCTCAGTATTTAGTATTTAGAGATTTAGTATTTAGTATTTAGAGATTCCTAAATACCGAGGACTCTGCCCAGTCTGGTTTGACCATGCTCCTCCTTCCTCACACTGTGGGGCCCCAGCTTTCCCTCCCAATTCCACACCCCCAGATGCTGGTACCATGCTCAGGTTCATCGTGGACACCACTCCATCCGACATGGCAACACTTTTGATCCAGCCGCTTTGACAACCTCGTTCAGTCTCCTCTGGAGACAGCCACCCAGACCTTTGCTGATGAGCTGGGACTGAGGGGAAAAGGCCTGCGATCTCTGATGGGGTTGGCAATGGACACCAAAGTCGTCTTCTAAAGACCAAGTACGCTCTAACCACGGAAATCGTCTCTAACCACTGACTCCTCCAGAAAAGGAAGAAAGAAGCCTCTCTACACTAAGCTGAAACACTAAATACACTAAGTGTTGATTAAGTAGACTAGGTACACTAAGTGGTAAACTTGGTAAACTTAGAGCACTAAGTACACTAAGTACAATAAATGGTAAACTTGGTAAACTTAGAGCACTAAGTGCACTAAGTTCACTAAGTAATAATATTAGTACTAAGTGGTACACTAAGCTGAAACCGCAAACCGCAGCCATGGCAGAGGAACCTCAGCTTAAATAGTGTGGAGCGGCCACTGGTTTCCGCGGCTCGTAGTCGCGCCCGCGAGGAAACGCCAGGGAGGCTTCCTGCCCCGCCCAGCGGTGGCCCAGGGCACAGGGAACCACGGCTGCTTCTCTCCGAGGTTTGTGGCCTGAGAAACTCTCCGCTGCGAATCTGGGCTGGCCTCTCCGGGAAGCCTTGAAACTCAACTCCCGGGTGGGCCAGGAAGGCTGCCCGACTTGGGCAGCGCCGGCCGGAGCCTTCTTCAAAGCCGAGCTGTTCGCCGCCCTCGAGGCCCAGGCGAGCCTGGAGGAGGGACCGGGTGCGCTCAGATGGGGCCCTTGGTGACTGGCGACCCCATGAGCACCCACCCTCCAGCCTGGGGCGGGATGGCCCAATCGGGCGCTGTGGGGGTCCGTTTGGAAACCGCTCTCTGCTTTGAGGATACGCGGGGAGCTTCCCTGGAAGCTGTGAAGAGGGGCAGACACGAGGCCTCTGGCCAGCCGCGCCTCGGGTCCAGGCCTCCCTGTGTCCACATCTGGTCTCCCGGCTTTTCACAACAGTGACCTTGACAGCGCCCAGAGTCCGCTGCTTCCGTCCAGTCCGCTCTTCCCCTACGTGGCCAAGAGGACGCAGCACTGGCGGCTTCAGGAGGTGGCTGTGAGCGCGGGGCTGGGGCCAAGAGCAGAGGACCAGAGAGGAGTCTCCAAGCCACCACCGGCCCCGTCACCGGCTACCGGCTAGGTCAGGCCCCAGATTCGGGTTTGCCCAGCAGGCGCTCGGCGTCCACGCTCCCTCTCCACCTTCTTGCCTCTCTAAGGAGGACCTGGCCCACTAGGAAGCCCGGGGCGTTCTGTGAACTGGGTGGTCAAACACGGTGTGTGGGGAAGGGGCCAATTGAGATTAGACGTGAAAAACCGGGAACCTGGGGACCGCAGGGTTGGGGCCCAGGAGGGGCCCGAAGCTTCCATCTAAGACAGGTGACTAAGTGAGGGGCACAGGTGCAACAGAAAGAAAGACTGATTTGCAATTGACTTGTAGGTGTAATCGGTTTTAGTCCCTATTTGACCACCAGAGGTCTGCAGCTCTATCCTTGGTGAGTTCTGAAGGCCCCTGGGGAGAGCTGAGCCCAAGAGACTTTTTAATTCCACAGAAGAACTTCGCCTGAGGCAGGTCTCCTCTGTGCCCAGGGAAGGAAGGCTGGACGTGATGGTTTCTGAAAAAAGTTACACAGAGAAAAGGTCAAGTCCGTTTTTGCTATCCTGTACTGAACACAGATCAATTAACTGGTCCCAGGATTGATAGCAACGGGCCTATAACTGGTCTCCTGGTTCCTATCCAGCCCTTCCCCCATAAAGGCAGAATCCTGTCCTCTTGGAACAGTGAATCCCCAGCAGAGGACCTCAGCTCCCAAGCTCCATTCAGCCTGGGCTCCCTGGAACCTGCTACCCTGCCCAGGAGCTGTCAACACCTGGAGTGCAGTGCAGGAAGAATGCAGGGGCGCTTGATGGGGAGGTGAGTGAGTGCAGATGGGGTTCCTGGAACTCCTTGGGCCCTTGGGGTAGCTCCCACTCAGGCTGTCCTGCAGGTCCTCACAAGGCCCACTACTGAGCAGGAAGAATGTCCCCAGGAGAGGCAAGAGGTGGGGCAAGGGCGAGTATGGGGTCCCTTGCATTTGCGGCAAAATGGAGAGGGAGATGAGAGGCAAGGAGTACTGGCCCTCACATGGAAACCTATAGCACACTGCCCAAAGGGAATGGGAAGGGAAACACAGCCACGCACGTCCACAGAAGACTTGGCAGATGGGAGAGGGTAGCTTTGAGGACTGAAATCCCTACTTCACAGGACTCTGGATACTTGGACACTTGCTTCCTCCTGTGCTTCTGTACGAATCTCAGGACTGTGGGACACTCTCTGCACTCTTATTCTTGTAATTCTCTTCTCTCCGGATGGCCTCCTTTCCCTTGGAGTGCAGCAGTGGCCATCAGATTCTTGGGCTGAAGGTCACTGGGTGACTGTGGGATTCTGGGGCCAGTTACTTCCCTTTCTTAGCCACCCCATGCTTTACAGAACTGAGCTCCACAGTCATACTCATCTCTCCCAGTGAAGCTCAAAGGAATTATTAATAAAAAACACAAAAACATAAATGGAATGATGTTTATGGAACCAATTGATTAACGTGGAAAAGTATGGGCTTCCCAGTTTTCTGCCCTTCGTGAGAACTTAATCCTGAAACACTGATCTCATGTCAACCTTCTGCCTTAACTGGGAATTCCTGTGGCCAGTCTGTTCTAAGGGTATCCCGTGAGCCCCTAGGGATGGAGAACAGAAGGCCACTTTTCCTAAACACACACGTGGTTCTGTCCTGGCCAGATCAGTGGACTTCCAGTGTCCTTCCTGAGTCACACCGAGGTGAATTGCATAGACCAGAAACCCACATTTTAAAAAGAATAAAATAAAATAAGTGGCCTGTAGTGTGGGGGCTGGGGTTGGTGCGGGCTTCCGGCTTGGCCGCGGGTGTCTGCATCGTTCAGCCCCGGGGCTTTTGTGTCGGGTCTGGCCTGGCTTTCTGTCCGCAAGTTTTTGCCCTGCTCCGCGGCGCTCCTCCGGGGCGGGAGCCGCGAGGCCCGGGCGAGCTCGGGCGGGACCGGAGGCTGCGAAGGCTGCCGGGAGCGGGACTCGCAGCTCCTGGATATGCCAGCGTTCCTGGAAGACTCCTGGGTCCTGACGAAAGACAAGTTGATGAGTGAGTTGGTCGCCATTAAAGTGAGGCTCCCGGCCCGGAGCAGCGCAGAGACCAGGACGCGCAGCCTCGCCTGCAGCACTCGGCCCTACCTCTACCCCGCCGCTACCTCTACCCCGCCGCGGCGCCGACAGCGAGGGCCCCGCCTCCCCCAGCTGGCTCCAGAGCCAGGCCACCCACAGCAGGAAAGCCATGAAGAAAACAGTTCAACTCAGACCAAAAGATAAAGCTGATCTCGAGGTAACCGCGCTCACTAATGAAGATCTCGTGGACCCGCTTGCGAGGTATGAAGAGAAACCTAGTCCTACTGGAGAACAACCAGGAAGCGATGTGAGAAAAAAACCTTGAAACCGAAGGAACGAGGACGATCTGTCGCCCAGGCTGGCGTGCAGTGGCGCGATCTCGGCTCTCGGCTCACTGCGGCCTCCGCCTCCCGGGTTCAAGAGATTCTCGTGCCTCAGACTCCTGAGTGGCTAGAACCACAGGCATGCGCCACCTCGCCTGGCTACATTTTTTTTTTTTTTTTTTTTTTTTTTTTTTTTTTTTTGTATTTTTGGTAGGGACGGGCTTTCCCCGTGTTGTCCAGGCTGGTCTCCAACTCCTGAGCTCAAGGGATCCGCCCATCTCGGCGGATTAACAATTTAATCTTCAGCAGAAAATGGAAGGCAGAATTGAAATAAAGGTTCTAATAGATACTGTGACAATGAAGAAGACTAAAGTAAAGATCAAGCTTGAGAAGACAGAACCACTAAAGGGCAGAGCAAAGACTCCAGTAACACTGAAGAAAAGAAGACTTGAGATAGTCAGAGCTATTCTCACGCTGGAATAACTGAGGCTGAACGCACAAGTGGAGCTTCAGAAGGCGGAGCTCTGCAGGCCTGGAGTAGGGAGTCTACCAGAGACCGGAGGAGAAGGCCAAGGAAGAGGGTGGAAACCAGAACATTTTCCAATAGACAGTGCAGTAATTTCAGAGAGTGCTCCCACAGCTGAAACTCTAATGGCTTCAGGACACAAAACCTTCGTTGTCAGTAGGATGACTGGAAATTTCAAGCATGCAGCTCCTATTCTGCAACTCAGTAAATTTTCAAACATACCCCAAACTCCAAAGAGACCACTGGGGTTGGGGGGGAACAGAATAAAGAAGAGTAGAAAGGGATATTCTTAAGGAAATGTTGCCCTATGAAGCATCTACACCAACAGGAATTGCTGCAGACCAGTCAAAGGGGCTACAGGCAGGCCATTAGAACTCACTGAGTTCAGGATGGCAGAATCTTTTTCATCTAAATATGTTCCTAAGTGTGTTCCCTTGGCAGATGTCAAGTCAGAAAAGACAAAAAAAGAATGAGCCATTTCTGTATGGACAAAAATTTTGCTGTTTGTTGTTGTAGTAGGTTTTGTTTGTTTGTTTTTTGGTCTATCAAGCTATAGAAACCAAACAAGGAAATCTTTTCTCTAACGTTCTTCCTGATGACTCTAGAAACCCAACTGAATGGAATCCATCTGGCACATTCAAGTTGGTCTCCTATTTTTAATAACTGTATTGAAAAACACTTGTGTACCCTTGTTGACTTAAATAGCTAAAAAAAAAAACAGGTGATTTCACCTCAATAAATGTAGTATTCCATGAAAAGCAAACAAAATATATATAAATGAACTTCATTAGAGTGTTTTTGAACTCTGGACTAGCAGGAGATCACTTCATGCCATATGAAAATCTTTTATAGCTCTGAAACTTTTTTGTAGGCTTTTTAAAATTTTTTCTTCTCATTGTCCAAACCCATGCAGGGTTTCTTTAAAATGTGGACACCTGGTTTCCTTTTTGAAAAATGAGATATATATATATATATATATATATATATATATATATACACATACACACACATATATATACATATATACACATATATATACATATATACACATATATACATATATACACATATATACATATATACACATATACATATATACACATATATACATATATACGTATATATATACATATATATACGTATATACATATATATACGTATATATATGAAACAAGAAGGGAAAAACATGGTAATATAGTATGAAGTTACACATTTAAATACTTTGAATTCTTACAGAAAAGAGTGGAAGAATTATCTTCTACTGAATAAAAACTTTACAGACATGGAAGACAATGAAATTTGGTAAGAGAAAAAGTAACATGGTTGTACTTTTTGTAACTGCAACGAAATTTGATGGTGTTTATGAGGAAAACTACAGCAATAATCTCTTCTGTAACTTTTATTAATAGTAATGTTAGACTCAGAAATGGTGGCCTCCATGTTCTTCCACCCGCTGTTGGTGGCCGCCACCCTTCGGACCACACTGCGGGCTGCTGCTCAGGTTCTGGGAAGTTCTGGATTGTTTAATAACCATGGACTCCAAGTACAGCAGCAACAGCAAAGGAATCTCTCACTACATGAATACATGAGTATGGAATTATTGCAAGAAACTGGTGTCTCTGTTCCCAAAGGATATGTGGCAAAGTGACCAGATGAAGCTTATGCAATTGCCAAAAAATTAGGTTCAAAAGATGTTGTGATGAAGGCACAGGTTTTAGCTGGTGGTAGAGGAAAAGGAACATTTGAAAGTGGCCTCAAAGGAGGAGTGAAGATGGTTTTCTCTCCAGAAGAAGCAAAAGCTGTTCCTTCACAAATGATTAGGAAACAGTTGTTTACCAAGCAAATGGGAGAAAAGGGCAGAATATGCAATCAGGTATTGGTCTGTGAGTGAAAATATCCCAAGAGAGAGTGCTACTTTGCAATAACAATGGAAAGGTCATTTCAAGGTCTTGTATTAATAGGAAGTTTACATAGTGGGGCCAACATTGAAGATGTTGCTGCTGAGACTCCTGAAGCAATAATTAAAGTACCTATTGATATTGTAGAAGGTATCAAAGAGGAATAAGCTCTCCAGCTTGCACAGAAGATGGGATTTCCATCTAATATTGTGGCTTCAGCAGCAGAAAACATGATCAAGCTTTACAGCCTTTTTCTGAAATACGATGCAACCATGATAGAAATAAATTCAATGGTGGAAGATTCAGATGGAGCTGCATTGTGTAAGGATGCAAAGATCAATTTTGACTCTAATTCAGCCTATCGCCAAAAGAAAATGTTTGATCTACAGGACTGGACCCAGGAAGATGAAAGGAACAAAGATGCTGCTAAGGCAGATCTCAACTACACTGGCCTCGATGGAAGTATAGGCTGCCTAGTAAATGGTGCTGGTTTGGCTATGGCCACAATGGATATAATAAAACTTCATGGAGAGACTCCAGCTAATTTCCTTGTTGGTGGTGGTGCTACAGTCCATCAAGTAACAGAAGCATTTAAGCCTATCACTTCAGATAAAAAGGTACTGGCTATTCTGGTCAACATTTGTGGAGGAATCATGCACTGTGATATTACAGCAAAGGGTATAGTCATGGCAGTAAAAAGTTTGGAAATTAAAATACCTGTTGTGGTACAGTTACAAGGTACACAAGTTGATGATGTTAAGGCACTAAAAGCAGACAGTGGACTTAAAATACTTGCTTGTGATGATTTGGTGGAAGCTGCTAGAGTGCTTGTAAAGCTCTCTGAAATAGTG
Source organism: Homo sapiens (assembly GCF_000001405.40). Lineage (NCBI taxonomy): Eukaryota > Metazoa > Chordata > Mammalia > Primates > Hominidae > Homo > Homo sapiens. The sequence continues at coordinate 1,768,562 of NT_167249.2, forward strand.
AAGCAAAGCAAGCGCATGTGGATGTGAAATTTCAATTGCCAATATGATCTGAAAACCCAGTGATGGCTGAAGGTGTTAAATGTGCTACAATCATTAAGGATACTGTGTTCTGTGTTATTGTTCTTTTAAGTGTGTGGAGATTGTAGTTGCCATCTAGGCACACAAACATTTAAAAGCATTTGGTTTGCATTTAATTCTACCATTCAGAATGGACTGTTTGTAAGAAGCATGTATAATGCAAATACCTTCTTTATTTCGTCACAGCCAGTCTTTTTTGCTTCTACAAAATGCAACTTGCAATATGACAGTTTATTATTGTTGGATACAAAGTTCTTCATTGATAAGAGACCTACAAATAAAATAAATATGAAGATAAAGCTTTATTCTTCAGTGTTAACATACAGTATATCTAATAACTAGCCTCATTAGTAGACCAGTATATTAAAACACTGTTTTATGTAAAAAGTGTTTATCTTCAGCACCAAATACATAATAAATGTAACAATCACTATTTATAAACAGAGCTTTCAAACACTCCTCAGAAAATCAAAATACTTCTAAGTATTTTGATGAAATAACTTTGTAATTATGTGAACATTGTTTTAATCATTAGGAAACGCTGATAACTGCAAGAATTCATGATTCCATGGTATTAAGAAGCACCTGTAGGTTTGTTTCAAATAGAGGCATATTAACCAAGGGAAAAAAATAGTAATGTTATTATTGTAGCCCTATCATATTCACTTTTTAAACGACTGGCTTTTAAAAGTATCATGAAAGTCCTACTTCAGTAAAACCCATTTAAGTACAGTTGATGTTTAGCAGGGATCTTTTAGTGCAGCATAAACATGCTTTAGAGAACTGTTGGCTGGCTGTACATGTTTTTAAAAGCTGTTAGCTAGCTATGAGGCTACAGCTGAAAATTACACTTTTTATGAGAAATTGTAAACACTGGTCTTATGTTTCATCTGGATTCCTTATTGCATCATCTTCTGTTAACAAAAACAAATTTTCCCAGTTTTTTTGCCTTGTATTTCCCAGCACAATTTCATTTAAAAGTACAAAAAGTGTTTGCTCTCAAATTGCATCATAAGCAAGTGTTAATACTCTGGGCTTTTTTATGTTTGTTTGTTTGTTTGTTTTTTGAGATGGAGTCTCGCTCTATTGCCCAGGCTGGAGTGCAGTGGTGCTATCTCGGCTCACTGCAAGCTCGGCCTCCCGGGTTCACACCATTCTCCTGCCTCAGCCTCCTGAGTAGCTGGGACTACATGTGCCCGCCACCACACCTGGCTAATTTTTTGTATTTTTAGTAGAGATGGGGTTTCACCATGTTAGCCAGGATGGTCTCGATCCCCTGACCTCATGATCCGCCTGCCTCGGCTTCCCAAAGTGCTGGGATTACAGGCATGAGCCACCGCGCCCGGCCTAGCTGTGGTTAATACTTACAGATGGCTGGTAGCGGTGGCTCACGCTTGTAATCCCAGCACTTTGAGAGGCTGAGGTGGGCAGATCCTTTGAGCCCAGCAGTTCCAGACCAGCCTGAATAACTGACAGAACCCCTTCTCTACCAAAATACAAGAAAATTAGCCAGGCTTGGTGGCACATGCCTGTAGTCCCAGCTACTCAGGAGGCTGAGGTGAGAGGATCACCTAAGCCCAAGAGGTCAAGGCTGCAGTGAGCCAGGACCATGCCACAGCCGCTGTACTCCAGCCTGGGTGATAGAGTGAGACCCTGTCTCAAATAATGATAATGATAATAATAACAATAATCATAATTAAAGTTGTATACTTAGAGTTGTAAACTGTGAATATGAAGTGGGCATTATGATTTTGTGTACTCTTGAAATGGTTATCTTTGTGATTGATTTTTTTAAGCTGCAATTTACCTCATGAATAATTCGGTTACATAAACTAGTAAGTGATTGAAATTTGAATAGAATTGAGTAAAACATGAAAATTTTAAACTGACTCATTTCAGTTTCAACTTTCCAGTCACTGACCATAAAGCACATTAAAAATGTAAACTAGTCTTCAATATCATCTGAAATGAAAAAACACTTTTAAAAAAGGAAGCTAAAGATATATATTTAGAACAGCACACAATTTTGATTTGAATTAGCCCTATTCTGATATTCAGCTTTTAGATATGCTGAAGACATTTTCACCGACTTTGCAATTGAGACCAGAAGGTCTTGTAGGTCTGGCCCTGCAGAGTGAGTGGCAAAGTCCTGTGTGCCATATTAGGGAACATTTTCATAGGCTCCAAGGCTTAGGATATGGACATTTTGTGGGCCCATTCTTCTGCTTACCATATTACTTCAATGATGTTTGCTCCCCTAGATTTTCACTAATAGTAAAAAGTAAACAAACAGATCTGGAGAAAAACGGAAGATAAGAGGCAGGACTAACTGCAGCCCTTCCTGGGGCAGACAGAACCGCATGTGGTGACTCACATCGTGAACTTTTGATTCAAGAACCACCGCAGGATCATATCAGGAAAACCAACAAAATTCACAGACCCTTTGAAAGAAGTGACTTGCCGCTGCAAACTCTGTGAGACATCTGAAAAACTGTGAGTTCCCAAAGTGTGAGAGAGGGAAAGTCTGCCTCCAAACACACATCCTCACTGGGGAACCGAAAATCTGAATCACGGGAGAAGTATTTAACCTTACCTAGAGCTGAAACAAATTTATAGAGAGTCGAGTGAAATATGAAAGTAGAAGAAGCAGTGGGAAGAGCCCTGTAGGCACTCCTGGGCCTAGGGAAGCCCAGGGAAGCCATTTCTGACTATATCTCACAGCGGTCCCTTGGGAGGGCAGACAGTGGAATTGGGGAAGGGCCACAAGGAGAAGGAGGCTTCCAGTAAAACTTTGTAATAATTTTGACCAAGCGTGAATTTTCCTGGGCAATATCAAGGGTGGAAGGGGTGAACGATAAAGGCAGATATGAGCACAGAAGCCATGGCAGGCAGGGAGGGGTGAGACCTGAAAGCCCTGACTGCTTTCTCAGTAGGGAGGCTTATAGCCTGGAGCAAGATGGGAGCTGGGTGAGGCCTGTCACTGCAGGCTTTCACCCACTTCCCTGGTGACCTGTATGAAGCAGCAGAGGCAGCCATAATCTCACTCCATAACTCCATTGGCCTGAGAACCAGCCTCCCATCCCACACAGTGACCACAGCAAGCCCCACCCAAGGAGAGTCTGAGCATGACCAGCATTTGAGAAAATCAGCATATTAAACAAAACTAAAACCAAGGATTCTCAGAGACTCCACTTCACTTCCCTGCTACCTCCACCAGAGCAGGTGCTGGTATCCATGGCTAAGAGACCTGATGATGGATCACATCACAGGACTCTGCAGACACTCCCCATTATCAGCCTGGAGACCAGTAGCTTCACGGGTGGTTTAGACCCAGAAGAACAATAACAATAATTGCAGCCCAACTCTCAGGAAGCCCCATCCCGAGGGGAAGGGGAGAGCACCACATCAACGGATCACCCCATGGGACAAAAGAATCTGAACAGGAGCCTTTGAGTCCCAGATCTTTCCTCTGACATCGTCTTCCCAAATGAGAAGGAACCAGAAAAACAATTCTGGTAATATGACAAAGCAAAGTTCTTCAACACCCCAAAAAGATCACACTAGTTCACCAGCAATGGACCCAAACCAAGAAGATATCTCTGAATTGCCAGAAAAAGAATTCAGAAGGTGAATTGTTAAGCTGCTTAAGGAAGCACCACAGAAAGGTGAAAACTAACTAAAGAAAGTTTTTAATAATACAGAATATAGATGAAAAATCTTCAGAGAAATAAATATCATAAATAAAAAACAATCACAACTTCTGGAAATGAAGGACACCCTTAGAGAAGTGCAAAATACTATGGCAGGTTTCAACAATAGAATCAAACAACTAGAAGAAAGAACTTCAGAGCTCTAAGACAAGGCTTTCAAATTAACTCTGACAAAAACAAAGAAAAAAGAATCAAATGAACAAAGCCTCCAAGAAGTTTGGGATCATGTTAAATGACCAAACTTAAGAATAATTGGTGTTCCTGAGGAAGAAGAGAAATCTGCAAGTTTGAAAATTTTATTTGAGGGAATAATTGAGGAAAACTTCCCTGGCCTTGCTACAGATTTGGACATTCAAATACAAGAAGCTCAAAGAACACCTGGGAAATTCATCTCAAAAAGATCATCACCTAGACACATAGTCATCAGGTTATCTAGGGTCAAGATGAAGGAAAGAATCTTAAGAGTTGTGAGGCAAAGGCATCAAGTAACCTGTAAAGGAAAACCTATCGGATTAACAGCAGATTTATCAGCAGAAACCCTACAAGCTAGAAGGGATTGGGGTCCAATCTTTAGACACTTAAACAAAATAATTATCAACCCAGAATTTTGTATCCAGTAAAAGTGATGAAGGAAAAGATAAAGTATTTTTCTTTTTTTTTTTTTTTGGGACGGAGTCTTGCTGTCACCCAGGCTGGGGTGCAGTGGCACAATCTCAGCTCACTGCAAGCTCCGCCTCCTGGGTTCATGCCATTCTCCTGCCTCAGCCTCCCAAGTAACTGGGACTGCAGGCGCCCACCACCACGCCCAGCTAATTTTTTGTATTTTTAGTAGAGATGGGGTTCCATCATGTTAGCCAGGATGCTCTCCATCTCCTGACCTCATGATCCGCCTGCCTCGGCCTCCCAAAGTGCTAGGATTACAGGCATGAGCCACTGTGCCCAGTGGAAAGATAAAGTATTTTTCATACAAACAAATGCTGAGAGAATTTGCCACTAACAAGCCAGCACTATAAGAACTACTAAAAGATGTTCTAAATCTTGAACCAAAATCTTGAAATATACCAAAATGTGACCTGCTTAAAGCATAAATCTCACAGGGCCTATAAAATAATCACACTACAAAAAAAAAAAAAAAAGGTATTTAGGCAACAACTAGCATAATGAATAGAATAGTACCTCACATCTCAATACTAACACTTAATGTAAATGGCCTAAATGCTCCACTTGAAAGATATGGAATTGCAAAATGGATAAGAATTCCCCAACTAAGTATTTGCTGTCTTCAAGAGACTCACCTAACACATAAGGACACATACAAACTTAAGATAAAGTGATGGAAAAAGATGTTCCATGCAAATGGGCACCAAAAGCAAACAGGAGTAGCTATTCTTCTATCAGAAAAAAATAGACTTTAAAGCAACAACAGTTTAAAAAGACAAAGAGGGACATTATATAATGACAAAAGGACTAGTCTGACAGGAAAATATCACAATCCTAAATATATGTGCACCTAATACTGGAGCTCCTAAATTTATAAAACAATTACTACTAGACTTAAGAAATGAGATAGATGGCAACACAACAATAGTGGGGGATGTTAATACTCTACTGACAGCACTAGACAGGTCATCAAGATAGAAAGTCAACAAAGAAACAATGGACTTAAACTCTACCCTAGAACAAATGGATTTAACAGATATTTATAGAACACTCCACCCAACAACTGCAGAATGTACATTCTATTCATTAGCACATGGAACATTCTCCAAGATAAATCATATGATAGGCCACAAAACAAGTCTTAACAAATTTGAGAAAATTGAAATTATGTCAGGTACTCTCTCAGACCACAGTGGAATAAAATTGGAAATCAACACCAAAAGGAGCCCTCAAAACCATGCACATACGTGGAAATTAAGTAACCTGCTCCTGAATGATCAATGGATCAACAATACAATCAAGATGGAAATACAAAAATTCTTTGAACTGGCCTGTGTGGTGGCTCAATCCTGTAATCCCCACACTTTGGGAGGCCAAGGTGGGTGGATCACCTGAGGTCAGGGATTTGAGAGCAGCCTGACTGATATGGTGAAACCTTGTCTATACTAAAAATACAAAAATTAGCTTGGTGTGGTGGTGGGTACCTGTAGTCCCAGCTACTCAGGAGGCTGAGACAGGAGAATTGCTTTGCTTGAACCCGGGAGGTAGAGATTGCAGTGAGGCGAGATGGTGCCACTGCACTCTAGCCTGGGTGACAGAGCAAGACTCTGTCTCCAAAAAAAAAAAAAAAAAAATTCCTTGAACTGAATGATTATAGTGACCGAACCTATCAAAACCTCTGGGATACAGAAAAAGCAGTGCTAAGAGGAAAGTTCATAGCATTAAATGCCTACATCAAAAAGTCTGAAAGAGCACAAATAGACAATCTAGGGTCGCACCTCCAGGAACTAGAGAAACAAGAACAAACCAAACCCAAATGAGCAGAAGAAAAAAAAATAACCTAGATCGGAGCAAAACTAAATGAAATTGAAACAAAAAATTACAAAAGATAAATGAAACAAAAAGCTGGTTGTTTGAAAAGATAAATCAAATTGATAGACAATTAGTAAGATTAACCAAGAAAAGAAGGAAGAAGATTCAAATAAGCTCAATTAGAAACAAAACAGAAGATATTACAACCAATACCACAGAAATACAAAAGATCATTCAAGGCTACTATGAACACCTTTATGCACATAAACTAGAAAACCTAGAGGACATGGATAAATTCCTGAAAATATACAACCCTCCTAGATTAAACCAGGAAGAAATGGAAACCCTGAACAGGCCAATAACAAGCAGTGAGATTGAAATGGTAATTTAGGCTCTACCTCTCCCCCTCCCCCTCCCCCTCCCCCTCCCTCTCCCTCTCCCCACAGTCTCCCTCTCCCTCTCTTTCCAGGGTCTCCCTCTGATGCCGAGCCGAAGCTGGACTGTACTGCTGCCATCTCGGCTCACTGCAACCTCCCTGCCTGATTCTCCTGCCTCAGCCTGCCGAGTGCCTGCAATTGCAGGCGCGCGCCGCCACACCTGACTAGTTTTCGTATTTTTTTGGTGGAGACGGGGTTTCGCTGTGTTGGCCGGGCTGGTCTCCAGCTCCTAACCGCGAGTGATCTGCCAGCCTCGGCCTCCCAAGGTGCCAGGATTGCAGACAGAGTCTCGTTCACTCAGTGCTCAATGGTGCCCAGGCTGGAGTGCAGTGGCGTGATCTCGGCTCGCTACAACCTCCACCTCCCAGCCGCCTGCCCTGGCCTCCCAAAGTGCTGAGATTGCAGCCTCTGCCCGGCCGCCACCCCATCTGGGAAGTGAGGAGTGTCTCTGCCTGGCCGTCCATCGTCTGGGATGTGAGGAGCCCCTCTGCCTGGCTGCCCAGTCTGGAAAGTGAGGAGCGTCTCTGCCCGGCCGCCATCCCATCTAGGAAGCGAGGAGCGCCTCTTCCCGGCCTCCATCCCCATCTAGGAAGTGAGGAGCGTCTCTGCCCGGCTGCCCATCGTCTGAGATGTGGGGAGCACCTCTGCCCCGCCGCCCCGTCTGGGATGTGAGGAGCGCCTCTGCCCTGCCGCGACCCCGTCTGGGAGGTGAGGAGCGTCTCTGCCCGGCCGCCCCGTCTGAGAAGTGAGGAGACCCTCTGCCTGGCAGCCGCCCCGTCTGGGAAGTGAGGAGCGTCTCCGCCCGGCAGCCACCCTGTCTGGGAGGGAGGTGGGGGTCAGCCCCCGCCAGGCCAGCCGCCCCATCCAGGAGGGAGGTGGGGGTGTCAGCCCCCCGCCCGGCCAGCCGCCCCCTCCGGGAGGGAGGTGAGGGGCTCCTCTGCCTGGCCGCCCCTAATGGGAAGTGAGGAGTCCCTCTGCCCGGCCACCACCCCGTCTGGGAGGTGTACCCAACAGCTCATTGAGAACGGGCCAGGATGACAATCGCGGTTTTGTGGAATAGAAAGAGGGGAAAGGTGGGGAAAAGATTGAGAAATCGGATGGTTGCCGTGTCTGTGTAGAAAGAAGTAGACATGGGAGACTTTTCATTTTGTTCTGTACTAAGAAAAATTCTTCTGCCTTGGGATCCTGTTGATCTGTGACCTTACCCCCAACCCTGTGCTCTCTGAAACATGTGCTGTGTCCACTCAGGGTTAAATGGATTAAGGGTGGTGCAAGATGTGCTTTGTTAAACAGATGCTTGAAGGCAGCATGCTCGTTAAGAGTCATCACCACTCCCTAATCTCAAGTACCCAGGGACACAAACACTGCGGAAGGCCGCAGAGTCCTCTGCCTAGGAAAACCAGAGACCTTTGTTCACTTGTTTATCTGCTGACCTTCCCTCCACTATTGTCCTATGACCCTGCCAAATCCCCCTCTGTGAGAAACACCCAAGAATGATCAATAAAAAAAAAAAAATGGTAATTTAAAAAATTACCGGCCGGGCGCAGTGGCTCACGCCTGTAGTCCCAGCACTTTGGGAGGCCTAGGCGGGCAGATCACCTGAGGTCGGGAGTTTGAGACCAGCCTGACCAACATGGAGAAACTCCGTCTCTTCTAAAAATACAAAAAAATTAGCCAGGGGTGGTGGTACATGCCTGGAATCCCAGCTACTCGGGAGGCTGAGGCAGGAGAATCACTTGAACCCAGGAAGTGGAGGTTGCAGTGAGCAGAGACCGTGCTATTGCACTCCAGCCTGGGCGACAAGAGTGAAACTCCACCTCAAAGAAAAAAAAAAAAGGTACCAACAACAAAAAAAAGCCCAGAACCAGATGGATGCACAGCGGAATTCTATCAGACATTCAAAAAATGGTACCTATACCACTGACACTATTCCAAAAGGTAGAGAAAGAGGGAATCCCCTCTAAATCATTCTATGAAACCAGTATCACCCTAATACCAAAACCAGGAGAGGACATAACAAAAAAAAACAAAACTACAGGCCAATATACCTAATGAGCATAGATGCAAAAATCCTCAAAACATACTAGTGGCCGGGCGTGGTGGCTAACACCTGTAATCCCAGCACTTTGGGAGGCCAAGGTGGGCTGATCACTTGAGGCCAGGAGTTCAAGACCAGCCTGACCAACATGGAGAAACCCCATCTCTACTAAAAATACAAAATTAGCTGGGCGTAGTGGTGCATGCCTGTAGTCCCAGCTACTTGGGAGGCTGAGGCAGGAGAATCGCTTGAGCCCAAGAGGCGGAGGTTGGGGTGAGCCGAGATCTCGCCATTGCATTCCAGCCTGGGCAACAAGAGCGAAACTCCGTCTGGAAAAAAAAAAAAAGCTAGCTAACAGAATCCAACAGCATATCAAAACAATAATCCACCATGATCAAGTGGGTTTCCTACCAGATATGCAAGGATGGTTTAACATATGAAAGTCAATAAATGTAATACACCACATAAACAGAATTAAAAACAAAAATCACATGATCATCTCAATAGATGCAGAAAAATCATTTCACAAAATCCAGCATCCCTTTATGATTAAAACCCTCAGCAGGGTTGGGCATGGTGGCTAACGCCTTTAATCCCAGCACTTTGGAAGACTGAGGGGGGTGGATCACGAGGTCAGGAGATCAAGACCATACTGGCTAACGTGGTGAAACCCCGTCTCTACAAAAAAAATACAAAAAATTAGCCGGGCGTGGTGGTGGGCGCCTCTAGTCTCAGCTACTTGGGAGGCTGAGGCAGGAGAATGGCGTGAACCCAGGAGGCGGGTGAGCGGAGATCGTGCCACTGCATCCAGCCTGGGCCACAGAGCGAGACTCCATCTCAAAAAAAAAAAAAAAAAAAAACCCTCAGCAAAATCAGCATAGAAGGGACATACCTTAAGGAAATAAAAGGCATCTATGACAAACCCAGAGCCAACATTATACTGAACGGGGGAAAGTTGAAACCATTCCCGCTGAGAACTGGGACAAGTCAAGGATTCCCACTTTCACCACTTCTATTCAACATAGTACTGGAAGTCCTAACCAGAGCAATCAGACAAGAGAAAGAAATAAAGTGCATCTAAATTGGTCATAAGGAAGTCAAACTGTCGTTGTTTGCTGATGACATGATTGTATACCTAGAAAACCCTAAGGACTCATCCAAAAGTCTCCTAGAATGGGTGAACAAATTCAGCAGTTTCACGATACAAAATTATTGTACAAAAATCAGTAGCTCTGCTATACACCAACAGCCACCAAGCTGAGAATCAAATCAAGAACTCAACCCCTTTTACTTTAGCTGTGACAAAAATAAAGTACCTAGGAATATACTTAACCAAGGAGGTGAAAGATCTCTACAAGGAAAACTACAAAACACTGCTGAAAGTAATCACAGATGACACAGACAAATGGAAACACATCCCATGCTCATGAATGGGTTGAATCAATATTGTGAAAATGACCATACTGCCAAAAAAAAACTACAAATTCAATGCAATTTTCATCAAAATACCATCATCATTCTTCACAGAACTAGAAAAAATAATCCTAAAATTCATATGGAACAAAAAAAGACCCTGCATAGCCAAAGTAAGACTAACCAAAAAGAACAAATCTGGAGGCATTACATTACCCAACTTCAAACTATACTATAAGGCTGCAGTCACCAAAACAGCATGGTACTGGTATAAAAATAGGCCTATAGACCAGTGGAACAGAATAGAGGACCCAGAAATAAAACCAAGTACTTATAGTCAACCAAACTTCAACAAAGCAAACAAAAACATAAACTGGGGAGAGGACACCGTATTCAACAAATGGTCCTGGGTTAATTGGCAGGCCATATATAGAAGAATGAAACCGGATTCTCTTCTCTCATCCTATACAAAAATCAACTCAAGGTGGATCAAAGACTTAAATCTAAGACATGAAACCATAAAAATTTTAAAAGACAACATAAAAAAATAACCTTCTAGACATTGCCTTAGGCAAAGACTTCATGACCAGGAACCCAAAAGCAAATGCAACAAAAACAAAGATAAATAGATGGGATTTAATTAGACTAAAAGCCTCTGCACAGCAAAGAAACAATCAGCAGGGTAAACAGACAACACACAGAGTGAAAGAAAATCTTTGATCTACACATCCGACAAAGGACTAATATCCAAAATCTACAAAGAATTCAAACAAATCAGAAAGAACAAAACAAACAATCCCATCAAAAAACGCACTAAGGACATGAATAGAAAATTCTCAAAAGAAATATACAAATAGCCAACAAACATATGAAAAAAATGCCCAACATCACTAATGATCAGGGAAAGGCAAATCAAAACCACAATGCAATAACACCTCACTCCTGCAAGAATGACCATAATCAAAATACCAAAAAAAAAATAGATGTTGGCATGGATGTGACGAAAAGGGAACACTTTTACACTGCTGGTGGGAATGTAAACTAGTACAACAATTACGGAAAACAGTATGGAGAATCCTTAAATAACTAAAAGTAGATCTACTGTTTGATCCATCAATCCCACCATTGGATATCTACCCAGAGGAAAAGAAGTCATTATACAAAGAAGATGCCTGCATATACATGTTAATAACAGCACAATTTGCAATTGCAAAAATATGGAACCAGCCCAAATGCCCATAAATCATCGAGAGGATAAAGAAAATGATGTATATGTATACCGTGGAATACTATTGAGCCATAAAAAGGAATGAAATAATGGCATTCGCAGCAACCTGGATGGAAATGGAGACCATTATTCTAAGTGAAGTAACTCAGGAATGGAAAACCAAACATGGTATGTCCTCACTCATAAATGGTAGCTAAGCTATGAGGATGCAAAGGCATAAGAATGATAAAATGGACTTTGAGGACTCAGGGGAAGAGGGGTAGGGAGGTGAGAGATAAAAGACTACACATTGGGTACTTTGTATGCTGCTCAAGTGATGGGTGCACCAAAATCTCAGAAATCAACACTGAAGAACTTATTCATGTAACCAAACACCACCTGTTCTCCCAAAAACCTATTGAAATAAAAAAAAATAAAAAACAAAACAACCCCACCCCCAAAAAAAGAAATAAAGAAGACATAAATAAGGGCGGAGAAATACTATGTTCAAAGATTGGAATATTCAGTATTGTTGAGGTACCAAGTCTCCCACAACTGACCTGTGGATTAAGTGCAATTCCAATCAAAATCATGGCAGGGCTGAACCTAAAAGTTTAAAAAAATAAAAAATAAAAATAAATCCTGGCAGGTTTTTTTTAAAAAGAAATTACCAAGCTGATTTGTCAATTTATATGGAAATCTGAAGGACTTTGAATATCCACAATAATTTTTAAAAAGAAGAAACTTGGAAAATACACACTACCTGATTACAAGACTTACTATAAAGCTCCAGGAATCAAGGTTGTGTTACTGGCATAAGGATAGCCATGAATCGGTGGAATAGAATAAAGAGTAGATGAATAAAACCACACATATATGTCTCTGAAAAATGCTTTAAGGGGAAAGGATAGTGTTTTCAACAAATGGTGCTGGAAAAAAAAATGACAAGAAATAAGAGGAACACCATATCCAAAAACTCATTTGATATAAATCATAGATATAAACATAAGAGCTAAAGTTGCCAGCCTTCTAAAACAGTGCTACGCAATAGGCTATAATATGAGTCACAAATGTGAGCCACATCGGTAATCTTTAATTTTCTGGTAGCCACATTTTAAAAAGTAAAAAGTAATCAATGAAATTATTTTTAACAATGTTTTATTTAACCCAATACATCCAAAATATAATTTTAGCATGGAATCAGTATAAAAGATTATTGGCATATTTAACATTTTTTTCTCATACTTAGTCTTTCTTGAAATTATTCCTTAGAGCCTCCAGGGCTTAGAAATTCCTTAATTTTACATCCTGCCATGTCAAGATTTCTTCCAGTTCCGGGGATTCTAGGATTTGCAGAAGACATCAGTACCACTTACATTTCCAACTCTGGGTCCCGGAAAGAAAGAGTACAGAGACACAGTCGAGGCTGGCACCCACCTTAGCCTCCTCCTCTCCCAGCCTTCCTCCACACACCAGGCAACTCACCCTGCCGGCAAGCTCGGGGTTTCATGAAGTGCCAGGCACTGGTGGGAAGTGGTCAGGAGATAACACAAACCCTGATCTCCGCAACCAGCCTCAGGAAGTCCTTCTGAAACCTACCCAGCCCCATTCCTGCCGCAGCCTGGGTGCTTTCCCCGGCGGAGCCACACGTCTGCAGAGGGTGATTCTAGAACACCCTTCCTCCCAATAACCCAGGGCTTCCTCCTTCATCTGCTTCAGGACTCAGCTCGCATGGCACCTCTCGGGAACTCTCACTCTCATGATAATAACTTCAAATTGCACCTGGCTCCTTTCATCTTCCGTGCCTTGCTTTTCTCTTAATCATCCTTTATTTTCGGACACCCCTGTAGTTGACTTCAGTGACTTTTTATTGGCCACGTCTTTCAACCGAAGGTAAATTCCTTGAGAGCCATGATTTGTGCCTGTTTGGATTTGACCCAAGCGCCTAGAATAGCGCCTGACGAAAAGTAGATGCTCAACCAACAGTTAGGGGCTGAATAAATCTAGAGACCAGAACCTCTTAAAGTTGAGTCTGGGGCTGACAGGTCGGTATTTTCCCAATATATGATTTTTGAGGTCCACAGGGGAGCGGTGGGGAGAGGCTTACCCAGGGTGGTGAGCGCAGCTTCAGTGGCAGAAATCCCCGTGCGCCCCCTCCTGCCGCAGAGGAAGACAGACCCCTACGGAGCCTCCAGGGCGCAGTCTCCAGGGCGGAGTCCCGGGGCGCTTCGGGCAGGGAGTCTGGGCCAAAGCGCCAAAATCCGCCGCTGTCGCTCAGCTGCAGCACGTTTCGCGCTGGGGAGCCTCTCCTGGTGGGCGACCGTGATGGACAATCGACAAGACCAGAAATTAGATTTGAGTCCAGAATCAAGGACCTTTAAGCAGGGATTGGAGATGGCAGGGGGCCAGGATTAAGGGATATAGACAGCAGGTCCTGTCTGCTTAGGTTGCAAATGGGAAGAAGAGGCCGGATGCCAGGGTCCTGGACTCTCAGGGTTCGGGTGGGGCCAGAATCCTGGACTCTCAAGGCTGGGGAGGGGCCGCCCTCCAGGATCCAATAGGATATAGGTTCAGATGCCTGGGTCCTGGAGGTCCGGGTAGTGGCGGAGGAACCGCCCTCGGGTTCCCGATGGATTGGGGACAAATGCTCAGCCCAGTCTGATTCCAGAAATCCTTGTAACCCAATATAGTCTCCAGCTCCGATGCCATGTCCTTCCCGGGTCCCAACGTGCTGGGGCTGGAGACTCATCTAGGGGATTCCGGGGAGGAGGGATCTTCCTCTCTGGAAGCAGCAGAACAAATTTCAGGGACTCAGGAGTCCAAGGCCTCATTCCAAAAACACTGAGAGGCTGCGTACTGGGAGCACAGTATGTCTGTGGGGTCCACCCAGACCTGGGAACCAGGTCTTAGGGCCTGCAGACCTCCCTCTGCCTTGAGGTCAGAGTCCACTGCCACTAACTGGGAGGAAACACCTGTCGCGGGACGGGGTCGCCCGCATGTGCACAGAGCCCTGTTCTGCCGAGATCCGAAGGGGAACCTGGGGAGGTCCCAGATGGGGAAGGGACAGGAGAGCTGGGTGTCTCTCCTCAGTCCTTCGGCCACACGGGGCCGCTGCCGCTCTACGCTTGGGTTCTGATGAGCTGCTCTGGAGAGGACGGGGCGGTGGTCTGAGTAAGACACAGATTGTTGATCCAGAAAGGATGTATCAATGAGGTGGGGCTGGGGTTGTCCAGGGGGTGGAAAGGCCTTCTGAGAAGCCCTGGACTGCGCGGGGTTCCGGCTCTGCGGAACAGAGGAGGGCTCTGGAGCTGCCTGTCTCTGAGGTTTCCAACTCCTCCTTGCAAACCCTCCCTCCAGCCTTTTCATGGCAACACTCCAGGAAAATGGAAAGTTGATCATTTTTTTCTTCCACTCCTTAATCCTTTCGTGACTGCTACTTTTAGATAATTTTATTTTAGAAGAGTTTTAAATTTACATAAAAGTTGCAATGGTAGTACAGAGTTGCCATCCGCTCCACAGTCAGTTTCCCCTGATGTTAACATCTCTCATTACTATGGTCCATTTGTCACAGCTAATGAAGCCATTTTCATACCTTATTATTACTAAACTGCAGACTTTATTTGGAGTTCATTAGCGTTCCCCTAATGTCCTTTCTGTGTTTCAGGATTCCATGGAGAATATCACACTACATTTAGTCTCCGTCGTGCCTCCACGGCATCCTCTGGTCTGTGACAATTCCTGAGATTTTCCTAATTTTTGATGCCTTTCACAATATCGGGAAGTACTGACCAGATATATTGTAAAATGTCCCTCAAACTGAATTTAGTTGGGGTGTAGATCATGGTTAGACTATGGTTATGGATGTTTAGATGAGGTGAAGTGCTGTTCTCCAAACACATTATCAAGATTATATCAATTTGATGTACCACTGTTGATGTTGAAGTTGACCATCCATATTTTTACTTCCTGTAGCTGCCACAAAAATGCCCTCAAAGTTGGCAACTTACAACAACAGAAAATTATTCTTTCACAGTTCTGGAGGCCCAGGGCATTGGTCAGCGTTCTTTGGCTTGTAGCCCCATTGCTCCAGTCTCTGCCTCCTTCTTCACATTGCCTTCTCCTCTTCTGACTCTCTCTTCTGTGTACCTGTTAGGAAGACACTTTTCATTGGATTTAGGGCCCACCTAGGTCATCCAGGAGGATCTCCTCATTTCAATATCCTCAGCTTAATTACATCTGCAAAGACCCTTTTTTTCCAAACAACTTGAAATTCACAGCTTCTGGGGACTAGGACAGAAACATATCTTTGTGGGGACAACCATTCAACCCACTACATCTGGCTAAGCTAATATTTCCCAGAGTGGCAATCCACCAGTGCACCCCAGGTTACAATCCTCATTCTAATTCCCAAATAAACTCAACATATTTGGACATTTCTTTAATGTCTTTTTTTTTTTTAGGTTGAAAAATCTGGTATCAGAAGTGATCCTGAAGAAAGATTACCTTTGGAAGAGACTTATGCTGAGTTCATTGCTTGATTTCTTGCCTCTGTTTCTGAACATCTTTTGAGAGCAAAATTTACTTTCTAAAAAGATGGGTATGTGTCGACCCTTTAAAAGCTGTTTGGGCTATTGTCGCCATTCAATGAGAAACTTCAGTCTCCCCAAAGAGAAATTATCTGTTGTCAGGATAAACTGGTACATGAATAAACAAAATTGCCATTAGGGGTCGCACCAGTCTCAAGAAAAATCTGGAGAAAATGGTCACAGGATGGACAATTAGATCACAGGCTGCCCACTAAGTAAAAACAAAAATCCTATACTAGGCACACTATTAAAAAACAAATCGCTCCAGCCTCTACCATTTCCTCACAGGGATTATGGAATTTTTCTTTTGCTGTCGAGAAATTAATAAGAGGCAGAACAGGATGCCAAAATTCCAAAGCATCCAATATAGGCCGTCTTCTGGGACTCCTGTCAGCTATATGGTCAAAATTTATGGTCGGTGGCTCATGCCTATAATCCCAGCACCTTGGGAGACCAAGGTGGAAGGATCACTTGAGCTCATGAGTTTGAAACCATCCTGGGCAACATAGCAAGAGCTCATCTCTATTTTAAAAAATTAAAATAAATAAGGAAAGAAAAAAAAATTAAGGTCCTCTCCTGTGTACGTTTTGAAATCAATGGGTAGAGTACGCCAAAGTTAATTTGGATCTTCAATGGCCATCCTTGGGGCCTTTTGAGTTCCCCAAACTTGTCTTCCTTAAAACAAAACTAGAAGACCATGGTCCTAAAATTAAACAATGTGAATGGGAGGCTTAGTTTACTTGGTACTTCAAAGTTTCATAATGCATTCGGGATTCAAACATTGCCTCCCTCTAAGATTCTATCACAAAATTAACTGAGACCAGCAAACAGTTAAGGAAGGACAACAAGGCTTTAGGGCCCCAGATTCTTTCCTCTCCAGAGGAGAGATTTCCTGTTCTCTTTCCTCTGTTCTTCTGTATCCACCTTTGGCTGAATTACCTTTCCCTCCAATTCCTCAGCTTCCACTACCCTTGAACCTGGACTGTTAAAACTTATCCCCTTAATGGCCGGGCACCATAGCTCACGCCTGTAATCCCAGCACTTTGGGAGGCTGAGGCAGGCAGATCACGAGGTCAGGAGATCGAGACCATCCTGGCTAACACGATGAAACCCCGTCTTTACTAAAAATACAAAAAATTAGCCGGGCGTGGTGGCAGGTGCCTGTGGTCCCAGCTACTCAGGAGGCTGAGGCAGGAGAATGGCGTCAACCAGGAGGTGGAGGTGGCAGTGAGCCGGGATCACGCCACTGCACTCCAGCCTGGGTGACAGAGCGAGACTCCGTCTCAAAAAAAAAAAAGAAAAGAAAAGAAAAGAAAAAAGAAGAAGATACTTGAACAAGCATATTGATAGCAGCACAATTGGTGATTGCAAAAATATGGAACCAGCCCAAATGCCCATCAATCAATGAATGGATAAAGAAAATGTAATTTTATATATATCTATATCTATATATAGATATATCTATATATAGATATATAGATATATAATGGAATACTACACAGTCATAAAAAGAAAGGAAATAATGGCATTCAAAGCAACCTGGATGGAGCTGGAGACCATTATTCTGAGTGAATTAACTCCGGAATGGAAAACCAAGCATTTTATGTTCTCACTTATAAATGGGAGCTAAGCTATGAGAACACAAAGGCTTAAGAATGATACAATGGACTTTGGGAACTGGCGGGGGAAGGGTGGGAGGGAGCTGAGGGATACAAGACTACACATTGTGTACAGTGTACACTAATCAGGTGCTGGATGCGCCAAAATCTTGGAAATCACCACTAAAGAACTTATCCATGTAAACAAACACCACCTGTTCCCCCAAAACTATTGAAATTTAAAAATGTTTTAAATAAATAAAATTTAAAAGGATTAAAAATGGATTATTTGCTTTCAAAAAAAAAGAAATCACCACTTGCACAGTTTTTATGTAATGTGAAATATGAATATCCACAATTACATGAAAAGCTGTTAAAAATAATCCTCCCAGTCCGGGCATGGTAGCTCACACATGTTGTTCCAGCTACTGGGAAGGCTGAGGTGAGAGAATCCCTTGAGCCCAGGAGTTCTAGGCTGCAGTGAGCTATTATGGTGCCACTGCACTCCAGCCTGGGTGACAGAGCGAGACCCTGTCTCTAAACAACAGCAATAATAATCCTTCCTTCCTGAGTCAGACGGGCATGGAGACGCTTCTGGAAGGAACACCGCAATGGCTGCGCAGGGACAGCCCCAGGTCCAGTTCAAACTTGTATTGGTTGGTGATGGTGGTACTGGAAAAACGCCTTTCGTGAAACATCATTTGACTGGTGAATTTGAGAAGAAGTATGTAGCCACCTTGGGTGTTGAGGTTCATCCCCTAGTGTTCCATACCAACAGAGGACCTGTTAAGTTCAATGTATGGGACACAGCCGGCCTGGAGAAATTCAGTGGACTGAGAGATGGCTATTATATCCAAGCCCAGAGTACCATCATAGTGTTTGATGTAACATCGAGAGTTACTTACAAGAATGTGCCTAACTGGCATAGAGATCTGGTATGAGTGTGTGAAAACACCCCCACTGTGTTGAGTGGCAACAAAGTGGATATTAAGGACAGGAAAGTGAAGGCGAAATCCATTGTCTTCCACCGAAAGAAGAATCTTCAGTACTACGACATTTCTGCCAAAAGTAACTATAACTTTGAAAAGCCCTTCCTCTGGCTTGCTAGGAAGCTCATTGGAGACCCTAACTTGGAATTTGTTGCCATGCCTGCTCTCGCCCCACCAGAAGTTGTCATGGACCCAGCTTTGGCAGCACAGTATGAGCACGACTTAGAGGTTGCTCAGACAACTGCTCTCCCGGACGAGGATGATGACCTGTGAGAATGAAGCTGGAGCCCAGCGTCAGAAGTCTAGTTTTATAGGCAGCTGTCCTGTGATGTCAGTTGTGCAGCGTGTGTGCCACCTCATTATTATCTAGCTAAGCGGAACATGTGCTTCATCTGTGGGATGCTGAAGGAGATGAGTGGGCTTCGCAGTGAATGTGGCAGTTCAAAAAATACCTTCATTGTTTGGACCTGCATATTTAGCTGTTTTGGAACACAGTTGATTCCTTGAGTTTCAAATATAGACTGCTACAGTCACATCACAATATTCAGCGGTGAAATCTTGTTTGTTACTGTCATTCCCATTCCTTTTCGTTTAGAATCAGAATAAAGTTGTATTTCAAATATCTAAAAACAAAAAATCCTTCCTTTTTCAACTCAATATTTGTGTAAGGCTAGATTTTTTAACATATACACTTCAATCAAAGTAAGAAAATGGCTGGGATGCAGCTGGAGGCCATAATCCTAAGTGAATTAATGCAGGAACAGAAAACCAAATACTGCATCTTCTCACTTATAATTGGGAGCTAAACACTGAGCACACATAGACATAAACATGTGTATAACAGACACTGTAGACGACTAGAGTGGAGAGGGTGGGGACGTGGGTTGAAAAACTACCTGTGGGTACTATGTTCACTACCTGAGTGACAGGATCCATACCCCAAACCTCAGCATCAGACAACATACCCATGTAACAAACCGGCACATGTAACCCCTGTATCTATTTTTTTCTGGTTTTTTTTTTTTTTTTTGAGACAATTTCACTCTTGTTGCTCAGGCTGGAGCGCAATGGCGTGATCTCGGCTCATCGCAACCTCTGCCTCCCGGGTTCAAGCGATTCTCCTGCCTCAGCCTCCTGAGTAGGTGGGATTACAGGTATGCGCCACCACCTCCAGCTAATTTTGTATTTTTAGTAGACATGGGGTTTCTCCATATTGATAAGGCTGGTCTCGAACTCCCGACTGGGATTACAGGCGTGAGCCACCGCGCCTGGCCACCCCCTGTATCTAAAATAAAAGTTAAAAATTTAAAAATAAGTACATAAGAGAATGTATGCTATGAGCCAAGAATGATGCTTGCAAAATTTTGCAAGAACAACACTTATGAAAATGAAAAATAATCACTCTTCTTGTTACCAAAAATCTTGGTAGCTGCAGAAGGTGGGATCTTTCCTCACTGGGAGTCGCAGAGCCAATACATGAAACCAAAAGTGAGCCTTAAGCAGAGCAAGCTTTATTTCCTGCACAGGACTTGTAAAGAGGAGAGCAGCTCTGCCAAGTCAACTTCTCCACTAGTGAGGCGGCTAGTGAGGGGTGAGGGGGCTAAAATGTAGGATTGCTCTAATGAAGGGGTTGGGCATTAAAAGTGAGGGGGAGGAATATTCATATGTTTTATGGGAACAGGCAGTGAACTTCTCCAAACTGGTAATACCGCTTTCCTTTTGGTCCTTTTAGGACTTCTTCTACTCATCGTCATGGAGATCGTCAACTGTCATGGCATGGATGGGAGCGCAATTTAGCCTGGAAACGGGATTACAATGAAGCATGAGGTCTTTTTGAAGTCATTTGGCCGGCTCTCTTGGTTGTAACGAGTCTCAGCTGGTTTGACTACAAAGGCAACTTCTTGAAGCAGATCCTGTTTTTTTGTTTTTGTTTTTGTTTTTTGTTTCTTGTTTTTTCCCCCTAGACATCTCACTCTGTCGCCCAGGCTGGAGTGCAGTGGTGTGATCTCGGCTCACTGCAACCACCACCTCTCGGGTTCAAGCAATTCTCCTATCTCAGCCTCCAGAGTTGCTGGAATTACAGGCGCGCACCACCACACCCGGCTAATTTTTGTATTGTTAGTAGAGACAGGGTTTCATCATGTTGGCCAGGTTAGTCTTGAACTCCTGACCTCGTGATCTGCCTGCCTCGGCCTACCAAAATGCTGCGATTACAGGCGTGAGCCACCGTTCCCGGCCTATACGTTGTTTATTTTGGAAAAATTAAAAATTAAGTTTTTTTTCATTAAAGATATGTTATTTCCGATCAAGAGATCAAGACCATCCTGGCCAACATGGTGAAACCCCGTCTCTACTAAAAACACAAAAATTAGCTGGGTGTGGTGGCACACGCCTGTAGTTCCAGTTACTGGGGAGGCTGAGGCAGGAGAATCGCTTGAACCCGGGAGAAGGAGGTTGCAGTGAGCCGAGATCATGCCACTGCACTCCAGCCTGGGGACAGAGCAAGACTCTGACTCAAAAAAAAAAAAAAGTTGTTTCTATTAACATGTAATGGGTTATTAATATTCTCTTAAATGAATTAATATTTTTAATATTTTGTTTTAATATCTTTTAATTTATATATGATAAAAATTGATACAATCCACAGAAACAAAATTTATTTGGGTCCTCACTAATTTCTTTTTTCTTGTTGCCCAGGCTGGAGGGCAATGGCACGATCTTGGCTCACCGCAACCTCCTCCTCCTGGGTTCAAGTGATTCTCCTGCCTCAGCCTCCCAAGTAGCCAGGATTACAGCCATGCGCCACCACGCCGGCTAATTTTTTGGACTTTTAGTAGAGACAGGGTTTCTCCATATTGGTCGGGCTGGTCTCGAACTCCCAACCTCAGGTGATCAGCCCGCCTTGGCCTCCCAAAGTGCTGAGATTACAGGCGTGAGCCACCGCGCCCAGCCAGGACTAATTTCTAAGAGTGTGCAGAGATACCGAAACCTAAAAGTTTAAGAACTGCTGATTGCTGGGAAACTCTGCAGTTTCCCGTTCCTCTCGTAACCTGGTCATGTGTCCTTCTTCCTGGATACTCATGACGCAGACTCAGTTCTCATTCCCAATGGGTGTCGGGTTTCTAGAGAAGCCAATCAGCGTCGCCACGACTCCCGACTATAAAGTCCCCATCCGGACTCAAGAAGTTCTCAGGACTCAGAGGCTGGGATCATGGTAGATGGAACCCTCCTTTTACTCCTCTCGGAGGCCCTGGCCCTTACCCAGACCTGGGCGGGTGAGTGCGGGGTCGGGATGGAAACGGCCTCTACCGGGAGTAGAGAGGGGCCGGCCCGGCGGGGGCGAAGGACTCGGGGAGCCGCGCCGGGAGGAGGGTCGGGCCGATCTCAGCCCCTCCTCGCCCCCAGGCTCCCACTCCTTGAAGTATTTCCACACTTCCGTGTCCCGGCCCGGCCGCGGGGAGCCCCGCTTCATCTCTGTGGGCTACGTGGACGACACCCAGTTCGTGCGCTTCGACAACGACGCCGCGAGTCCGAGGATGGTGCCGCGGGCGCCGTGGATGGAGCAGGAGGGGTCAGAGTATTGGGACCGGGAGACACGGAGCGCCAGGGACACCGCACAGATTTTCCGAGTGAACCTGCGGACGCTGCGCGGCTACTACAATCAGAGCGAGGCCGGTGAGTGACCCCGGCCAGGGGAGCAGGTCACGACCCCTCCCCATCCCCCACGGACGGCGCGGGTCCCCTCGAATCTTCGGGTCCCAGATTCACCCCAAGGCTGCGGAACCCGCCCAGACCCTAGACCGGGGAGAGTCTCAGGCGCCTTTACCCGGTTCTTTTTCAGTTTAGGCCAAAATGCCCACAGGGTGGTGGCGACGGGGGCGGGGCTTGGTGGGCGGGACTGACTAAGGGGCGGGGCCAGGGTCTCACACCCTGCAGTGGATGCATGGCTGCGAGCTGGGGCCCGACAGGCGCTTCCTCCGCGGGTATGAACAGTTCGCCTACGACGGCAAGGATTATCTCACCCTGAATGAGGACCTGCGCTCCTGGACCGCGGTGGACACGGCGGCTCAGATCTCCGAGCAAAAGTCAAATGATGCCTCTGAGGCGGAGCACCAGAGAGCCTACCTGGAAGACACATGCGTGGAGTGGCTCCACAAATACCTGGAGAAGGGGAAGGAGACGCTGCTTCACCTGGGTAAGAGGGTCCACAGGGCTACTCTCCCATCTCCTTCTTGGGCTAGGACTGTGCCCACAGCTGACAGACCTCAAACAGTAGAAGAAACAGGGATGGAGGCCAGAATACCACTCCTCCCTTGGATCAGGAGAGGGAGCTGTCACCTGAGGTACAGGAGATCCTATACCACAGAGTGACTCTCTTAAAGGGCCAGACCTCTCTCAGGGGCAATTAAGGAATCTAGTCTCGCTGGAGATTCCATCCTTCAGATGAACTGATGAGCAGTTCTCTTTGACTCCCAGTATTAGGAATCACGGGGGAGTTTCTCTCGTGCCTGATTCTCAGCCCCACACCAAGAGTTTTTGGAGGTCTGACTCCAGCTTTTCTCAGTCACTCAGCATCCACACAGGCCAGGACCAGAAATCCCTTTTCACCTTCTACCCTGGGCTAGCTCATCCCGATTCTAGAACTTTCCAAGGAATAAGAGGCTATCCCAGATCCCTAAGTCCAGGCTGGTGTCAAGGTTTTGTCCTCTTCTCCTACTATAATTGTCCTCTTCCTTCTCAGGATGGTCACATGGGTGCTGCTGGAGTGTCCCATGAGAGATACAAAGTGCCTGAATTTTCTGACTCTTCCCCTCAGAGCCCCCAAAGACACACGTGACTCACCACCCCATCTCTGACCATGAGGCCACCCTGAGGTGCTGGGCCCTGGGCTTCTACCCTGCGGAGATCACACTGACCTGGCAGCAGGATGGGGAGGGCCATACCCAGGACACGGAGCTCGTGGAGACCAGGCCTGCAGGGGATGGAACCTTCCAGAAGTGGGCAGCTGTGGTGGTGCCTTCTGGAGAGGAGCAGAGATACACGTGCCATGTGCAGCATGAGGGGCTACCCGAGCCCGTCACCCTGAGATGGAGTAAGGAGGGGGATGGGAGGTCATGTCTCTTCTCAGGGAAAGCGGGAGCCCTTCTGGAGCCCTTCCGCAGGGTCAGGGCTGAGGCCTGGGGGTCAGGGCCCCTTACGTTCCCCTCTTTTCCCAGAGCCGGCTTCCCAGCCCACCATCCCCATCGTGGGCATCATTGCTGGCCTGGTTCTCCTTGGATCTGTGGTCTCTGGAGCTGTGGTTGCTGCTGTGATATGGAGGAAGAAGAGCTCAGGTGGGGAAGGGAGAAGGGTGGGGTCTGAGTTTTCTTGTCCCACTGGGTGTTTCAAGCCCTAGGTAAAAGTGTGTCCTGCCTCGTTACTGGGAAGCACCATCCACACACACGAGCCTACCCAGCCTGGGGCCCTGTGTGCCAGCACCTACTCTTTTTTTTTGAGACGGAGTCTTGGCTCTGTCACCCAGGCTGGAGTGCAATGGCGTGGTTTCAGCTCACTGCAACCTCCGCCTCCCAGGTTCAAGCAATTCTCCTGCCTCAGCCTCCCTAGTAGCTGGGACTACACATGCGTGCCACCACACCTGGCTAATTTTTTTTTTTGTATTTTTAGTGGAGATGGGGTTTCACTATGTTGGCCAGGCTGGTCTCGAACTCCTGACTTTGTGATCTGCCTGCCTCGGCCTCCCAAAGTGCTGGGATTACAGTCGTGAGCCACCGCACCCAGCCGCACCTACTCTTTTGTAAAGCACCTGTGACAATGAAGGACAGATTTATCACCTTGACGATTGTGGTGATGGGGACCTGATCCCAGCAGTCACAGGTCACAGGGGAAGGTCCCTGCTGAAGACAGACCTCAGAAGGGCAGTTGATCCAGGACCCACACCTGCTTTCTTCACGTTTCCTGATCCTGCCCTGGGTCTGCAGTCACAGTTCAGGAAACTTCTCTGGGATCCAAAACTAGGAGGTTCCTCTAGGACCTTATGGCCCTGCCTCCTCCCTGGCCCCTCACAGGACATTTTCTTCCAACAGGTGGAAAAGGAGGGAGCTACTCTAAGGCTGAGTGTAAGTGCGGGGCGGGAGCGTGGAGGAGCTCGCCCACCCTATAATTCCTCCTGCACCACATCTCCTGTGGGCTCTGACCAGGTCTTGTTTTTGTTCTACCCCAGGGAGCGACAGTGCCCAGGGGTCTGAGTCTCACAGCTTGTAAAGGTGAGATTCTGGGGGTCTGAAGTGGGTGGAGGGTGGGGCAGAGGGGACAGGACTGGGTTGTGGGGATTTTTTGATTCAGAATTTTTGAGTGTGTGGTGGGCTGTTCAGAGTGTCATCACTTACCGTGACTGACCTGAATTTGTTCATGACTATTTTCTTCTGTAGCCTGAGACAGCTGCCTTGTGTGCGACTGAGATGCACAGCTGCCTTGTGTGCGACTGAGATGCAGGATTTCCTCACGCCTCCCCTATGTGTCTTAGGGGACTCTGGCTTCTCTTTTTGCAAGGGCCTCTGAATCTGTCTGTGTCCCTGTTAGCACAATGTGAGGAGGTAGAGAAACAGTCCACCTCTGTGTCTACCATGACCCCCTTCCTCACACTGACCTGTGTTCCTTCCCTGTTCTCTTTTCTATTAAAAATAAGAACCTGGGCAGAGTGCGGCAGCTCATGCCTGTAATCCCAGCACTTAGGGAGGCCGAGGAGGGCAGATCACGAGGTCAGGAGATCGAAACCATCCTGGCTAACACGGTGAAACCCCGTCTCTACTAAAAAATACAAAAAATTAGCTGGGCGCAGAGGCACGGGCCTGTAGTCCCAGCTACTCAGGAGGCGGAGGCAGGAGAATGGCGTCAACCCGGGAGGCGGAGGTTGCAGTGAGCCAGGATTGTGCGACTGCACTCCAGCCTGGGTGACAGGGTGAAACGCCATCTCAAAAAATAAAAATTAAAAAATAAAAAAAGAACCTGGATCTCAATTTAATTTTTCATATTCTTGCAATGAAATGGACTTGAGGAAGCTAAGATCATAGCTAGAAATACAGATAATTCCACAGCACATCTCTAGCAAATTTAGCCTATTCCTATTCTCTAGCCTATTCCTTACCACCTGTAATCTTGACCATATACCTTGGAGTTGAATATTGTTTTCATACTGCTGTGGTTTGAATGTTCCCTCCAACACTCATGTTGAGACTTAATCCCTAATGTGGCAATACTGAAAGGTGGGGCCTTTGAGATGTGATTGGATCGTAAGGCTGTGCCTTCATTCATGGGTTAATGGATTAATGGGTTATCACAGGAATGGGACTGGTGGCTTTATAAGAAGAGGAAAAGAGAACTGAGCTAGCATGCCCAGCCCACAGAGAGCCTCCACTAGAGTGATGCTAAGTGGAAATGTGAGGTGCAGCTGCCACAGAGGGCCCCCACCAGGGAAATGTCTAGTGTCTAGTGGATCCAGGCCACAGGAGAGAGTGCCTTGTGGAGCGCTGGGAGCAGGACCTGACCACCACCAGGACCCCAGAACTGTGGAGTCAGTGGCAGCATGCAGCGCCCCCTTGGGAAAGCTTTAGGCACCAGCCTGCAACCCATTCGAGCAGCCACGTAGGCTGCACCCAGCAAAGCCACAGGCACGGGGCTACCTGAGGCCTTGGGGGCCCAATCCCTGCTCCAGTGTGTCCGTGAGGCAGCACACGAAGTCAAAAGAGATTATTCTCTTCCCACAGATACCTTTTCTCTCCCATGACCCTTTAACAGCATCTGCTTCATTCCCCTCACCTTCCCAGGCTGATCTGAGGTAAACTTTGAAGTAAAATAAAAGCTGTGTTTGAGCATCATTTGTATTTCATTTGTGCGTTTTGTGCCTTGTTGTTTTAATTTTTTAACCACATTCAAGCTATCCTTTGGCTTCCAATGCCATGGTCCACCCAGAACTGCATTCACTGGCCCGTGTTCTAGTTCTGGTCATGCCGACTTTCCCGTTTTCCTGGTGAATCCCTGTAATCACCTGAGTCTCATTCTGTCAGGTGATATCCAGTAAGAAGGCAACATGTGCGGTGAGAAAGCCCAGGGAGTCCTGGGTGTGAATTTTTACTTTGCCATTTCTTCCTGTGTGACACGCGGTGGGGCTTCACCTGTCTGAGCTCCAGTTCCTCATCTTGTACGTGGCACTGTTTTCTTGGGAGAGTCATTATAAAGCTAATATAAAGTACCTGTACTGTGGTTTGAATGTGTCCTCCAAAAAGCGTGTGTTGGAAACTGAATCCACAATGCAACCATATCGGGAAGTGAATCCTAATGGCTGGCTGGCCATGGAGGTTCCAACTTTATGAATGGATTAATACTGATTATAAAAGGGCTTGAGGTTGAGGCAAGTTCAACCTCTTGCCCTCACTCACCCACTTGCCTTTACCAAGAGATGATACAGCAAAAAGACTCACCAAATGCCGGGATCTTGATATTAGACTTCTTATCCTCCAGAACCATGAAATAGGCTGCTTTGCTTTATAAATTACTCAGTCTGCGTATTATATTACAGCAACACAAGATGGGCAACCTGATACTTAGGTTTCAGTTAGTGGTAGATATTTTTATTTCAAGCATTCCTACTGGAGTATTAGTTTCTTCATAAGCCCAGAATCTTTGCATTTTAGCAACAACAAATAAGTCTTTTTTTTTTTTTTTTTTTTGAGACTGAGTTTCACTCTTGTCACCCAGGCTAGAGTGCAATGGCATGACCTTGGCTCACTGCAAACTTGGCCTCCCAGGTTTAAGTGATTCTCCTGCTTCAGCCTCCCAAGTAGCTGGGATTACAGGCGCCTGCTACCACGCCCAGCTAATTTTTGTATTTTTAGTAGAGACAGAGTTTCATCATGTTGGCCAGCTGGTCTCGAACTCCTGATCTCAGGTGATCCACCCACCTTGGCCTCCCAAAGTGCTGGGATTATAGGCATGAGCCACCACGTTCCACCAGAAGTCTTAATTAATGCAAAGAAAATCAATCTATAGATTTGATGGAAATTTGGACTCCTATATCCTACTTTTTATCCCACTCCTATATACTACTCCTTATTAGTGTCCCAGAAAGATGAACTATTTTCCTTCTCTACTTGGTCTGCCCATTTCTACTTCCTGCCATATCGGCAGGCTATGTTTGCCTCACCTCAAAGATCTGCCTTCCTCAGTTTTAGATCTTAAATCTTTTTAAGCCAGACTCCAAGGGATCTTTAACAAATATTTATCGAACCCTTCCTGTGTTCAAAGAATGTTGTGAGGTCCAGGGTGGGACTAGGGGGCGAGAAAGGTTCCTGCGCTGAAGGAATCTAAGATTTAGTAACAATGAATAAACAGACTTGAAGATAACTATTGTGGTTAGCGCTGAAAGAAACGTACAAAATGCCAAAAGTCAAGGAGGAAACTATGTTTTCTAGGACAGTGGTTCCCAACATTTTTGGCATCAGGGACCGGTTTCATGGAAGACAATTTTTCGGAGGGGTGGTTTTGGGATGATTCAAGCGCGTTACCTGTATTGTGGACTTTATTTCTATTATTACATTATAATACATAATGAAATAATTATACAACTCACCATAATGTAGAGTCAGTAGGAGCCCTGAGCTTGTTTTCCTGCAACTAGACAGTCCCATCTGAGGGTGATGGGAGACACTGACAGGTCATCAGGCATTAGATTCTCATAGGAGCGAGCAACCTAGATCCCTCGCATGCACAGTTCACAATAAGATTCACACTCCTATGAGAATCTAACCCCACTGCTGATCTGACAGGAGGCAGAGCTCAGGCGCTAATGCTTGGTCACCTGCCACTCACCTCCTGCTGTGCAGCCCAGTTCCTAACAGGCCATGGACCGGTACCAGTCCATGGCCCAGGGCTTGGGAACCCCTGTTTTAGGAGACTTAGGTTTTTCTAAAGGAAAAAATGTTTGAGTTATGCTTTGAAAAATGTAAGACACCACTGTAGATGTTTTAATCAGGGAATTGGGTTATTACCAAAAAAAAATGTTGGAAGATGAAAGAGCAGGTTCTTTATGCCTCCTGGCTTGACCCTGGAACAATTTAGAACCAGCCCAGTGAGGCATGTACTCCCCATGAGGCCACACAAGAGCTGTGCTTTCTTAGATCTGGATCCCACTACCACATAGGGGTTCCTGGGCACCTGGACACCAGGGAAGAGGGGTCAACCAGGTCCCACTCCTCTGGCATGACACTCAGTGATTCAGTCAAGATACTGTTGGGAAAACAGCCCATGCCATGGGACTTCCCCATGGTCGGAAAAGTCTTGAATAGCTAAAAGCAAAACAGGATAGTTAGGCTGCATTATGTAGATAATGGTGACTCATGGGCAGGCCCTGCCTCCTTGGGCCATTGTATGTGAACAGATCTTTGTGTGATTATGGGATAATTCTGGGTTCTTTTCTCCATGTGCCTGTTCTTAATTGGCCCAGGAGAGGGAACCCAAGGGAAGGAGGAACCCGAGTGATCTTGTCCTCTTTTGACATCTCATTTCTAGCCACAAGGTTATGAATCATAGATCTCCAGAAGTCAGTGGTCCTAGAGGAAAAAAGCATCTGCCATAGCAGCAGAATGACAGGGAGACAGCTATTCCTATTACTAGAGTTTTAACAGCCCCTCTCAGCCAGCTAGCCCAGACTAGGATCTTAACGGGGGCTGGGACTTACTTCCATATATTGTAAATGATGTAACCTTGTCTTCATGATGACCTTAAATATATCTTGATGAACAGTATAAGAAAGCAAATGAAGCCTGGGCGCGGTGGCTCACGCCTGTAATCCCAGCACTTTGGGAGGCTGAGGCGGGTTGATCACCTGAGGTTGGGAGTTCAAGACCAGCCTGACCAACACGGAGAAACCCTGTCTCTACTAAAAATAAAAAATTAGCTGGGCGTGGTGGCGCATGCCTGTAATCCTAGCTACTCAGGAGGCTGAGGCAGGAGAATCGCTTGAACCCAGGAGGCTGAGGTTGTGCAGTGAGCCAAGATCACACCATTGCACTCCAGCCTGAGCAAGAAGAGCGAAACTGCGCTTCGAAAAGAAAGAAAGAGAGAGAGGGAGGGAGGGAGGAAGGAAGGAAGGAGAGAGAAAGAAAGAAAGAGAGAGAGAAAGAAAGGAAAGAAGGAAAGAAGGAAAGAAAGGAAGAAAGGAAGAAAGAAAGAAAGGCAAATGATCACTTAGAGGATTTTGTTTGGTAGTTAAAACCATTTTGAAACAGAGGGAGGGAAGAAATCACCTATGCTTCCTCAGTGGTAAAGAGACTGGGAACCACCACGCCAGAGTTAGAAAATATGAGGCAACAGAAGGGCTGTTATATGTAGTGAAAATTTCCAAACCCGGTCCCCTGGAGGGAATACCTGGTGACTGGGCCTTAGAGGAAAGAGATGCTTGTCCAGCCCATTGCCTGTGTGTCCAGGAGAGACTGTGCCCACCTTGAGAGACTGAGAGAAGACCCTAGTGAGGAGAAGCCCCCAGGCCAGCCGTCAGCACAGGGCATTGGAGGTCCCCAACCAGCTCCAAGTCCTGAACAGAGCACAGCCTCCAGAGGTTTGTACTGTTCATACCCAGCAGAGGCTGTGTGCCAGCCCTCCCCATGCAAATCAGCGTCCCTGCAGGGTATGTAAAGGACCTCTACCTATGCTTTCTATGGGGGAACAAATATCCCATGGGACACTGAAAGACTATGGAACATTGTAGAACATGTATTTACCAAACTGTGTCCAACTCAGAGCCTAAATTGTTTATTGGTGCTGTTTCAACCAGTACACGTGATTCTTTTTTTTTTTTTTTTTTTTAGTATTTATTGATCATTCTTGAGTGTTTCTCGGAGAGGGGGATTTAGCAGGGTCATAGGACAATAGTGGAGGGAAGGTCAGCAGATAAACATGTGAACAAAGGTCTCTGGTTTTCCTAGGCAGAGGACCCTGCGGCCTTCTGCAGTGTTTGTGTCCCTGGGTACTTGAGATTAGGGAGCGGTGATGACTCTTAATGAGGATGCTGCCTTCAAGCATCTGTTTAACAAAGCACATCTTGCACCGCCCTTAATCCATTTAACCCTGAGTGGACACAGCACATGTTTCAGAGAGCACGGGGTTGGGGGTAAGGCTATAGATCAACAGCATCCCAAGGCAGAAGAACCTCTCCCAGTACAGAACAAAATGGAGTCTCCCATGTCCA
The DNA here is from genome assembly GCF_000001405.40 of Homo sapiens. Lineage (NCBI taxonomy): Eukaryota > Metazoa > Chordata > Mammalia > Primates > Hominidae > Homo > Homo sapiens. The sequence continues at coordinate 1,799,331 of NT_167249.2, forward strand.
CCTCTTTCCACACAGACACAGTAACAATCTGATCTCTCTTTCTTTTCCCCACATTTCCCCCTTTTCTATTCGACAAAACCGCCATCGTCATCATGGCCCGTTCTCAATGAGCTGTTGGGTACACCTCCCAGACGGGGTGGCGGCCGGGCAGAGGGGCTCCTCACTTCCCAGACTGGCCGGGCAGAGGCGCCCCCCACCTCCCGAACGGGGCGGCTGGCAGGGCGGGGGCTGCCCCCCACCTCCTGGACGGGGCGGCTGCCGGGCAGAGACGCTCCTCACTTCCCAGACGGGGCGGCTGCCGGGCGGAGGGGCTCCTCACTTCTCAGACAGGGCGGCCCGGCAGAGACGCCCCTCACCTCCCAGACGGGGTGGCGGTCGGGCACAGACACTCCTCAGTTCCCAGACGGGGTCGCCGCCGGACAGAGGCGCTCCGCACATCCCAGACGGGGCGGCGGGGCAGAGGCGCTCCCCACATCTCAGACGATGGGCGGCCGGGCAGAGACGCTCCTCACTTCCTAGATGGGGTGGTGGCCGGGCAGAGGCTGCAATCTCGGCACTTTGGGAGGCCAAGGCAGGCGGCTAGGAGGTGGAGGCTGTAGCGAGCCGAGATCACGCCACTGCACTCCAGCCTGGGCAAGATTGAGCACTGAGTGAGCGAGACTCCGTCTGCAATCCCGGCACCTCGGGAGGCCGAGGTGGGCAGATCACTCGCGGTCAGGAGCTGGAGACCAGCCCTGCCAACACGGGGAAACCCCATCTCCACCAAAAAATACAAAAACAAAAAAAACAAAAAAAAAAACCAAGTGATTCTTTCTGCAGAGGACATCTTGGCTCTTGGCACTCCACCACAGACTTGGTATGAGATCCTGGTTGAGCACTTTTTTTTTTTTTTTTTTTTTTTTTGAGACAGAGTTTCGCTCTTGTTTCCCAGGCTGGAGTGCAGTGGCATGATCTTGGCTCACTGCAACCTCCGCCTCCTGGATTCAAGCGATTCTCCTGCCTCAGCCTACGGAGTAGCTGGGATTACAGGCATGTGCCATCACGCCCTGGCTGATTTTGTACCTTTAGTAAAGACGGGGTTTCTCCATGTTGGTCAGGCTGGTCTCGAACTCCCGACCTCAGGTGATCCACACACCTTGGCCTCCCAAAGTGCTGGGATTACAGGCGTGAGCCAACGCACCCAGCCTGGCTGAGCACTTTCAAGTCTCATTCCTAACATCTGTCAGTTAAGCTGGGATAACAATTATCTGACTGACTGCACGGAATTCTGAATGAATTGAATTGGATAATACATGTAAATCCTTGTGGTGGGAATTTGGGTGCCATTTTCTTTGCATTATGAAAATCCAGGTCAACTCTTCTTTCTTCTCCCAATTGTTTTTATTGCACATCTATAAAAACAAGGAAAGAATTTTCTTGCTTTTCTTTTTTTTGAGACACAGTCTCGCACTGTCGCCCAGGCTGGAGTGCAATGGCACAACCTCTGCTCACTGCAAACTCTGCCTCCTGGGTTCATGCCATTCTCCTGCCTCAGCCTCCTGAGTAGCTGGGATTACAGGTGCATGCCACCACGCCCAGAAAATTTTTTGTATTTTTAGTAGAGACAAGGTTTCACCGTGTTAGCCAGGATGGTCTCAATCTCCTGTCCTCATGATCTGCCCACCTCCGGCTCCCAAAGTGCTGGGATTACAGTCATGAGCCACCGCGCCTGGCCAAGAATTTTCTAATAAACAAGAAAAACCTCACCTGTAATCCCACTACTTGGTACAATAATCATACTTATTTTTCTTTATTTCCTTCCAGTGTGAGCAAGGACAATTTAGCTTTGGGAACCCACAAAGAAACCATTTCAATTAAAAGCACAGGAAGCCCCACCAGTCCCATGAGGTTTTTGCCACCCCTAAGTAGTTCCATATGAGAAATTAAGAGTAGCGATGCTTGCTTTGAGGAATTGGAGGGAAAACTAAAATGAAAGTTGAATTTGGATAAGAGAAAAATCAAGGGCACTCACTCTTCCCAACCCCAGCCTGTCTGACTCTCTCCCCATCATCCTCCTCACTACTTTCAGGCAGGGTGGAGATAGCACCAGGGGGAGATTCTGGGAGACAGGGCACTACTGCAAGAACAGCAGGACAGCCCCACTGGTGGCTGTGGGATGCTCCGTGGCCCTGCCTACTGCTGTTCTGGAGGATGCACCGCCTCGCTTTCCTTTCTGGTGTTAGAGCCAGGTGACTCTGTCCAAAGAGTAGGTTCTTTTTCCCCACAGAGGCAAACAGGAAACGTTTCCTTTCCTAACTAGCTCTGCCTAGTGCCTGGAATCTTACTGAGTCAGTCCCGCAGTAAGTCAGCAGCTCAGGAAATCTACCCTCTCTGAGCCTCCCTGCAGTTCAAGCTGCTTAGGGAACTTGATATTTTCAAGACATCTGTCTACACATGGGCAGCCCAGCCGCTGAGTTAGTGGTGGCAACCAAAGCGAACAGAGGACTTGGCTTCCTGAAAACAGAGGCAAAGAAGTATAGCTATCCAACCTTCTGAGTCTTGTCTCTATATGGAGATGCCCATATGGACAAATAGGGTCTGGACAAGGGGAAGGGTTAACATGAGAAAGTCACATGATTTCTGCTATGCTATTCCTCTGTGCGCTTACCCTTTCTGTTTCTAAATATTTCAGCTAAAAGACAATAAATACTGCAACCCTTACATTCCTTCAGCCCTGCTTTCACTTGTCCTGGGTGTCCTGACTGTCATCTTCATTCATTTATATCAAACACCATTCAATCAATACTTACTACAAGCAAACTATATGTGAGATCAAGAGTACTATTCAAAATAGTTGACAGCTGGTATGGTAATGGAAATTAATATATAAATAAAATTTTCCCAATTATGCTATTTTTCTGTCCTAACTAAATGATTATAAAACTACTTACCAAGTGACACAGTTGAAATATAAATAATTTCTTAAATAGTTATAACAATTTCCAAATTATTTATTGATTTTTAAACATTTTTTGCATTTCTTAGGTGGTAATTATTGGTTAAGTGATATATGCCTATGTTAGCCATGATTTGACAAAAGAGCCTTGTATAAGCTTCTGATAATTTCCCCATTAAATTGTTTGTATATTATGACGTATGTAATCAACTATATTGTTCATGGTGCCAAATCCTCTCTCACTTTAGCAGCTATGTTAAAGATTTTTTAGCCCTTGAACTGCTGTCTGAAATTCTTTTTCTTTCTTTTTTTTTTTTCTTTTTTTGAGACAGTCTCACTCTGTCGCCCAGGCTGGAGTGCAGTGGTGCGATCTTGGCTCACTGCAACCTCCACCTCCCCGGTTCAAGCAATTCTCCTGCCTCAGCCTCCCGAGTAGCTGGGATTGCAGGCACATGCCACCACGCCCAGCTACTTTTTGTATTTTTAGTAAAGAGGGGGTTTCACCACGTAGGCCAAGCTGGTCTCAAACTCCTGACCTCAAATGATCCACCTGCCTCGGCCTCCCAAAGTGCTGGGATTACAGGCATGAGCCACCACGCCTGGCCTAGAAATTCTTTTTTTTTTTTTGAGACGGAGTCTCCTGTCGCCCAGGCTGGAGTGCGGTGGCGCGATCTCAGCTCACTGCAAGCTCCTCCTCCCGGGTTCACGCCATTCTCCTGCCTCAGCCTCCTGAGTAGCTGGGACTACAGGCGCCTGCCACCATGCCTGGCTCATTTTTTGTATTTTTAGTAGAGACGGGGTTTCACCATGTTAGCCAGGATGGTCTCGATCTCCTAACCTTGTGATCTGCCCGCCTCGGCCTCCCAAAGTGCTGGGATTACAGGCATGAGCCACCGCGCCCGGCCTAGAAATTCTTATTATTTAATATCTCCGTTCACTCCACCACAAAAATCAATTAATAAAAGCCATCTTTAATAAGTAGGCTTAATTGTATTGATTAAATTAAAAATTGTCTTGATTTAATAGGTTACATCTATGAAGCTTTGTAAACATCCTTCATGGTTGACTTAATTTAAAAATTTTAAGTTCTTAATATATTTTACTTTTGTCATCAAACTACAATTGCAATCACATAAATTATTAGATAATCTAATTGACTTTTTCTCTTGAAGTTGACATTTTTCTTTCAAATGGTATATCATATTTTTAAACAATACTATCTACTTTTTCCCCTTTGCTTTATGTATTTAATTTTATATATTAACTGATTCTTATTTTTCTACAATTAATCCAGCTTCTGTAATTTTTAATATTTCCTCTGGAAAGGATAAAGATAACATTGACATCTCTGTTAATATATAAGTTATTAACGTCAAATTTCTGGGAAAAAAAGTTTATGTCCTAAACACTTACTACTCCCATTTCACAACTTCTATTAAAGTGAATATAAAAGGTTTGGTACAATTCCCTAATGCTCTTGGCATCCCACTATTACAGAGTGCCCAAATATGCTTTCTAGTTTCATGACTTCAATTCCAGTATCTTTAGAAATATTTTTAATTTTCCCAAATGCTTATTTCATATGTAGTTGTGAATATAAAGTTTAGTGAGGCAAATATTTGAAGTAATTTTTCATTTAAACATTTTACTGCATCATCCTGACATCACTGAATACAGTAACTTATATAGTACCAATTTAAAATATAAAGAGACTTTTTTTTTTTTTTTTTTTGAGACAGATTGTCGCTCTGTCACCAGGCTGGAGTGCAGTGGCATAATCTCTGCTCACTGCAAACTCTGCCTCCCAGGTTCAAGCGATTCTCCTGCCTCAGCCTCCCAAGCAGCTAGGACTATAGGTACATGCCACCACACCCAGCTAATTTTTGTATTTTTTGTAGAGACAGGGTTTCACCATGTTGGCCAGGATGGTCTCAATCTCTTGACCTCGTGATCTGCCTGCCTTGGCCTCCCAAAGTGCTGGGATTACAGGCATGAGCCATTGTGCCTGGCCATATAGAGACTTCTCTAAAACTTTGGCTTCTCTGAACTTTCTCTGTGACATATACTAGAACCATCTGTAGCATTGTGTAACCATTTCACATCAAAACCACTTTTCTTGAGCACTGATGAGTAAGTAAGCTTGATACATCATTTCAGTTCCTCAGATGAGCAAAAATCATTAGTTTTATATCATCAGTTTTATAAGTCTGAAATTTAGTATTTAAGTCACTAATAAAAACACATTTTTGTGGCCGGGCGTGGTGGCTCACACCTGTAATCCCAGCACTTTGAGAGGCCAAGGTGTGCGGATCACGAGGTCAGGAGATCAAGACCATCCTGGCTAACACAGTGAAACCCCGTCTCTACTAAAAATACAAAAAATTAGCCGGGCATGGTGGCAGGCGCCTGTAGTCCCAGCTGCTCGGGAGGCTGAGGCAGGAGAATGGTGTGAACCTGGGAGGTGGAGCTTGCAGTGAACCGAGATCGCGCCACTGCACTCCAGCCTAGGTGACAGAGTGAGACTCCGTCTCAAAAAAAAAAAATTTTTTTTTGTTACATAATTGAAGCTTTCTTGGTGATGATTGATTGCCTAGATTTATAAATTTACTAAAAAGTTGTCTCATCATGGTAGATATACGTTTTGTGACCATTGTAACCATTAATGTAGACTGCAATGATATGCACTATTTACAACCTTTTTTAAGACTCTATTTAGCAGTAGACTAATTACACAGTAGGTAATATTAGCATTCTAATGGTACTTTTTCAATGTTTTGTTCTTTTTATGATACAAAGTATTTCAGGGGATTTATTATTTCAAAGACTTCATTATGTGAAGCTCATTCATAATATTCTTCAAATTCTTCTTATTACTAGTTTTTCCCTGAATTCTGAGCACCGACAATATGCTAGAACATTCACCTTTTCACACATCCACAAGATGTGTGCTTTGCATATCGTTTTCATTTAATATTTACATTTCAAGCAATAATCAGCTACCTGTGAGTTTTGTCAAAATTATCAGGGGTTTTTTGTTTGTTTGTTTTTTGACATGGAGTTTTGCTCTTGTTGCCCAGGCTGGAGTGCAATGGCGCCATCTCAGCTCACTGCAACCTCCACCTCCTGGGTTCAAATGATTATCCTGCCTCAGCCTCCCCAGTAGCTAGGATTACAGGCATGCACCACCACACCTGGCTAATTTTATATTTTTAGTAGAGACAGGGTTTCTCCATGTTGGTCAGGCTGGTCTCGAACTCCCAACCTCAGGTGATTCACTCACCTTGAGCTCCCAAAGTGCTGGGATTACAGGCATGAGCCAATACACCTGGCCAATTATCAGGTTTTTAATTAAATTTTAGAAATGTGAATTATTGTTTCCTTTGAACTGAATCTTATGCAATACTGAAAGCATTCCCACCTGCCATAATCTTTGCATATCAGTTGTTCCAGGCTGTGATTCAATATTAATACCATTGGTTTCATGATTTGTCTCAGATTCAGAAGAGTCATGTTTACAGTATCTAAAAGCAATGTTTAAAATGTATGTAGGCCTGGCACTGTGGCTTATGCCTGTAATCCCAGCACTTTGGGAGGCTGAAGCTGATGGATCACCTGAGGTCAGGAGTTTGAAACCAGCTTGGCCAACATGACGAAACCCCATCTCTACTAAAAATACAAAAATCGGCTGGGCGCGGTGGCTCATGCCTGTAATCCCAGCACTTTGGGAGGCCAAGGCAGGTGGCTCACCTGAAGTCAGGAGTTCAAGACCAGCCTGACCAACATCGTGAAACTCCGTCTCCACTAAAATACAAAAAATTAGCCAGGCATGGTGGTACATGCCTGTAGTCCCAGCTACTTGGGAGGCTGAGGCAGGAGAATTGCTTGAACCCGGGAGGCAGAGGTTGCAGTGAGCTGAGATTTCGCCATTGCACTCCAGCCTGGGCAACAAAAGTGAAACTCTGTCTCAAAAAAAAAAAAAAAAAAAACCCTTCTGTCTCAAAAAAAAAAAAAAACAAAAACCCTTCTGTCTCAAAAAAAATAAAATAAAACAAAAATATAAAAATTTGGTGGGTGTGGTGGCACACACCTGTAGTCCCAGCTACTCAGGAGACTGAGGCAGGAAGATCGCTTGAACCTGGGAGACAGAAGTTGCAGTGAGCCGAGATCACACCACTGCACTCCAGCCTGGGCAACAGAGTAAGACTCTTATCTCAGAAAATAAGTAAATAGATAAATAAATAAAATGTATTTAAACTTTGTCACTTCACTCTTACTGTTTACTATTCTAAGTTCTTGAATTTATAGATATCAAAACACTGCACAGTTATTATTTCCAGATGAATAATAACACAATAACAATAGAAACAAGGAAAAGCCAAACAAATATACTATTTATAAGTTACAGCATGTGAGGATAACAATTAACTGATGATTTTCCTAAACCACAAAACAATGAATGTACAATGGTGACATGGCTGAACCAGCCGGTGGTGCCATAAATGATTCTCAGATGCTGCAGTGCAGGAGACCCATCCATTGATGATCACTGTGATAGACTAAGACAAATAGTTAATTAGTTAATGAGATATTAGAATTTCTAGTACTTATTAATTTTACCACCTATCACGATAACCATTCTATTTTCTGTAACAATCAGTATTGGCTGTACTAGTGCACACTGGCTGGATGCCAGTGTGTAAGACAATGCCATAAAGGGCTATATGAGCATTAGCTACTATGCTATGACTTTTAACATTGAGTTGATTAGGTTCAAGGGTCAGGTGGGGCACTTTTAGAAATTACAGTAACAGAGGCCCTCAGGAGGTAGGATTCCCTTTTCTTTTTGGAGACAGAGTCTTACGCTGTCACCCAGGCTGGAGTGCAATGGCGGGATATCGGCTCACTGCAACCTCCGCCTCCCAAGTTCAAGCAATCCTCCCACCTCAGCCTCTTGAGTAGCAGGGATTACAGGCATCTGCCACCACGCCTGGCTAATTTTTGTATTTTTATTTTTATTTTTGTTTTGAGATGGAGTTTCATTCTTGTTGCCCAGGCTGGAGTGCAATAGCGCAATCTTGGTTCACCGCAACCTCCACCTCCGAGGTTCAAGCAATTCCTGCCTCAGCCTCCTAGGTAGCTGGGATTACAGGGATGTGCCACCACACCTCGCTAATTTTGTATTTTTAGTAGAGACGGGTTTTCTTTTTTTCTTTTTTTTTTTTTTTGGGATGGAGTCTGGCTCTGTCGCCCAGGCTGGAGTGCAGTGGCACAATCTCGTGAGGATGGCTCACTGCAAACTCCATCACCCGGGTTCAAGGGATTCTTCTGCCTCAGCCTCCCAAGTAGCTGAGATTACAGGCGTCTGCCACTGTGCCTGGCTAATTTTTATATTTTTGATAGAGACGGGGTTTCACCATGTTGGCCAGGCTGGTCTCAAACTCCTGACTTCAAGTGATCCACCCACTTTAGTCTCCCAAAGTGCTGGGATTACAGGCGTGAGCCACCGTGCCCGGCCAAGGCAGGGTTTCTCCATGTTGGTCAGTCCGGTCTTGAACTCCCGACCTCAGGTGATCCACCCACCTCGGCCTCCCAAAGTGCTGGGATTACAGGTGTGAGCCACTGCGCCCGGCCTAATTTTTGTATTTTTAGTAGAGTAGAGCTGTGATCATGCCACTGTACTCTAGCCTGGGTGACAGAGTGAGATGAGACCCTGTCTCTTAAAAAAAAAAAAATGGCCAGGCGCCATGGCTTATGCCTGTAATCCCAACACTTTGGGAGGCTGAGGCAGGTGGATCACTTGAGGTCAGGAGTTTGAGACCAGCCTGGCCAACATAGTGAAACCCTGTCTCTACTAAAAATACAAAACTTGCCGGGCGTGGTAGAGGGCGTCAGTAATTCCAACTACTTGGGAGGATGAGGCAGGAGAATCGCTTGAAGCCAGGAGGCGGAGGTTGTAGTGAGCCAAGATCCCCCCATTGCACTCCAGCCTGGGCAACAGAGCAAGACTCCGTCTCAAAAAAAAAGAAAGAAAGAAAAGAAAAGAAAAGGAAATATGCAGTCTATTTAGGAAAGAATGCATGAGTTTGTTCATAAAGCATAACAGTGGGCGTGGGTAACCAATGAAGACTGCTCGGGATATCCATTAAGCACAAATTCCTGCGAAAATACATAAGACCACAGGCACCAGATTCCACAACAAAGTGTGTGTGTGTGTCGACATGCATGTGTGTGTGTGTGCACGCACATGCATGTGTGTGGGGGGTGTGCCTGTGTGTTTGTGTGCACATGGGTGTGTATGTGTGCTGGTGTGGAGAAAACCTGATTAATAATGTCCAAGCCACACTCCAAGACCTCTTCCACTCAGGCTGGGGTCCCAGGAGCAGATGGTGGGCAAAGGGCAGGAATAACCTGTGCCTCAAGCTGCAAACAGGATCCACAAAATAGCCAAAAGACAGTGTTCGGGGTGTAACTAAACTTATGAGGCAAAGAGGAGAGACTGGGAGAGGACTGAGAGGAAAACCAGGTGTGAGGCTGTCATGCAAAGCAGGTCCCTTGGGGTCACCACCTGTTGTTCACCAGGGCTCAGGATAAAAGCCAGAATATCGCATGCTATGGGTTAAGAAATAGGCTTTTGAGGGAATTTTCAATTCAGTGTCAGCAAGTAAAGAGAAAGCATGAGTCCAATTCCTTTTATTTTTCCATAGAAGAGCAAACCAGGCACACTACTGGACATGCAGGTGGAGGGGAGGGATGCGGCAGTGTGTTATTGCTCTCCATTATGAGTCAAGCATGAGAGCAGCCTTATCAATGAAGAGGCACACAAACAGCGTAGGCACCTAGCACTCTTGATTAGAGTGTCAGTTATTGACAGGTTGTGCTAACCTGACTTCTAAGATGGTCTCTAATGATCCCCCATCTTAGTATTCGAGTCTTTGTGGAATCCTTCCCACCTTGAGTTTGGTATGGACCTTGTCACTTAATTCTAACCAATGGAATATGACAAAGGTGAAAGTCTATCATATCCATGAGTAGACAATAAGAGTTTGTGGCTTTTATCTTGCTAGCAGACTCATTTACTGACTCAAGTAATCAAGCTGCCATGTTAAGGAGGTCCATGTGGTGAGGAACTGAGAGTGCTCTCAACTCAACATTCAAGAGGAACCAAACCTTCAGTCCTACCACCCTTCGTGCTTCCTACCAACAACTAAGTTAGTGAGCTTGGAAGCTCATCCTTTCCTAGTTGAGTCTTCAGGGAAGACCCCAACTATGATTGCAGCCTTGAGGGGCCCTGAAGAGAGGACCCAGCTATGCTGTATTGAATTGCTGTCCTTCAAATATTGTGAGATAATAAGGGTGTGTTGTTTTAAGCCACTTATTTTAGGACAATTTTTATGCTGTAATGATAACTAATATACAGGAGATGTTCAAAAATACAAGCTACCCAGGAACTGGAGACCTAGGGGCCCATGGCTAGTCACACGTCCCTCTGCCAGGAGTGAGAAAAACACCCCTGGTTCCACTGGATTCTAACTTTTGGAAACCCCACTCACTGGAAGAAGAGGGAGCCCCAGGTTCTAATGAGTTTGTTTTTCAGGCAACCCAGAATGACCTCCCAGCATCATTTCCAGACAGTGTGGCTCCTGACATCACAAATATAGTAGAATAACACCAAACTGAGTAAATAGGACAGTAGGCTGCAGACCCCCTCATGTGCCAATGATCTTTATAAAGACTTAAAACCTCACTATGCATAGAGTTGATAAAGGCACCAAATGAACCAGAGAAAGGAGACTCAAGTCAAGAAAATGTATCTCAACTAGGAAATGTTTTTGTGACCACAAAGGGGAGGAACCAGGAAGTTGTGGTAAACTGTAGCGGAAGTTAAAGCTAAAAAAAAAAATGAGAGAGAACCAGTGAATTTAAAAATACTTAACAGACATAATGACAAAAAGTAATAAGTACATCTCTTTGGATCATGAGAAAGAAGATCAGGAACGAAAGATCTAGCTGGGCCTTCCCCCACCCTCCCCAGCCTTGGTTCCCTGATTAGTGCTCCAGGCCTCTCCAGGGCCTGACACTCAATCTTCTCTTGGGAACTAATTATGGCAATGTACCACGAGGTACTGTTCCTCAGACTAAACGTGGTTTTTTGTTTGTTTGTTTGTTTTTTAGACAGGCTCTCACTCTGTCACCCAGGCTGGAGTGCAGTGGCACAATCTCAGCTCACTGCAACCTCTGCCTCCCCAGTTAAAGCAATTCTCCCACCCACTTCAGCCTCCCCAGTAGCTGGGACTACAGGTGCACGCCACCATGCCCTGCTTTATTTTTATTATTATTATTATTATTATTATTTGTATTTTTGGTAGAGACGAGGTTTCACCATGTTGGCCAGGCTGGTCTCAAACTCCTGGGCTCAAGTGGTCTGCCCACCTCAGATTCCCAAAGTGCTGGGATTACAGGCATGAGCCACTGTGCCCAGCGTAAACGTGGTTTCTTATGTTTTTAAATTCCCCTTGAAAATATTCTCTTGTGACCAAAAAAGACCCTTGGGTGTACAGAGAATAGGTTTTGTCATAACTGTAACTAATGTGAGCTTCCACTAAAAACCCAAGATACAAATATATTCACAACTTTATTTTTCCAGTGATCCATTCTAATACCTCTTGAGGCTTCCTGTGAAATGTCTAAGCACCCCACAGCCAAAGGGTACACTCGTAGTCCCCTTCAGTGCTAAGAACAGAAAAGAAGCTGTTGCTTTTCTCTGCTATAGGTGTTGCTGTTGAAAATTCATCCCACACAATTGATGGAGATAATTTTCACTGCTTTAGTCACCTAAACAGGCCTTGCTGATCCACATTCCTGTTCAGATTACTAGGATTCTCTAAGGGAGGGATGATTGTTGAAGCTGAGTGATGGAAACACTTTGCTATTCTTTCTAATTTTTTATAAATTTTAAGTTTTCAATAATAAAAAGTTAAAAACCAAAAATTAAAAGAATCTGACAGGCCAGATATGGTGGTTCACGCCTGTAATACTAGCACTTTGGGAGGCTGAGGCAGGAGGATCGCTTGAGGCCAGGATTTCGAGGCTAGCCTGGGCAACATAGTGAGACACTATCTCTACACAAAAAAAATTTAAATTGAAAACAAAACGGCATTCCGGCTCCTTGGAGAAACGGTCGATTCTAGGACTGGGGCATCCTATGATGTCAGAAAGTATTTACATGCTCGATTAAAAGGTGAGAACCATATCAAAGGGACACAGGAGCCAACTGGAAATAATTCCAATAGTTAAAATGGAAACAATTTGAGCAACAAAATAAGTAATAATGGAATTGGATTATAACCCATAGAATAAAATAAGTATCCATTAGCCCATATTGATAAAAGAAATTCTTAAATAAATAAATGGGAAGATGTGGCAGTACTTTTTCACAGAAGAATTCATTAGCAAAGCCTAACGGTGTGGCTAGCCTGCGTCATGACAATGGTTGGGAGAAGCAGCAAAATAGCAGACTAGCCAGAAATTTAAAAGGGAAATCAAAGGAACAAAACAGACAAAGAATGCCTTAGTAAAATACCATTTAACTTTGGTAGTTTAAAAAGCTATGTGCAGCACACAGGGTTATAACTGCTTAGAAGAGAGACTTGAGAAGGCTATAGGAAGCTACTCCTCCCTGCAACTAAATATGAGGTCTCAGAAATAAAGAGAAAGCCATGGCTCACTTGTAAACTCTCTGAACTTTGAAAGTACCCTCCAAATCACACACAGCTCCAACAGCAGGGTTAGAAGCCTTACTGGCTTAAGGCATTTAAGCACAAACTCTAACAGATCACTGGCTGACCATTAAGCTATGCTGATCCAGGGGCAACCCCTAAGAATTCAGGCTTAAAAATAAACATAAGAATTAAAAAAGGACGGGAGGCTGAGGCAGGAGAATCGCTTGAACCCAGGAGGCAGAGGTTGCAGTGAGCCGAGATCACGCCGTTGCACTCTAGCCTGGGCAACAAGAGTGAAGCTCTGTCTCAAAAACAAAAAGGAACCTGAGCAGAAATATCTGAGCAGAAATATCTGAAGCCTCATACTGCATACTGCAAGGGAAAAGGACTCCACTGAATTAGTACAGGCAAGTCACTATAAAAATATCTGAACCCTCATACTGCAAGGGAAAGGGACTCCACAGAATTAGTACAGGCAAGTCACTATAAAAACAAACAAAACAACAACCACCTTCACCCCCAAGAGAAAGAAATTGGAATCCAGAGCTAGCATATATTGTCTAAAATTTTCAGTTTTCCAAAAAAGTTACAAAAGGGCAAAGAAATAGGAAAATGCAATCCATTTGCAGGGAGAAACAGTCAATAGAAATTGTCGGCCAGGCACGGTGGCTCATGCCTGTAATCCCTGCACTTTGGGAGGCTGAGGTGTGTGGATCATTTGAGGTCAGGAGTTCGAGACCAGCCTGGCCAACATGGTGAAATCTGTCTCAATAAAAATACAAAAATTAGCTGGGCATGGTGATGCACACCTGTAATCCCAGCTACTCGGGAGGCTGAGGCAGGAGAATTGCTTGAACCACGGAGTCAGAGGTTGCAATGAGCTAATATCATGCCACTATACTCCAGCCCTGGAAATGGAGTGAGACTCTGTCTCAAAAAAAAAAAAAAAATTGATTCACACCTAAACATTAATATATTATACTGAAACTATTACCAGCCAAAAATAGAAATGACATCTTAAAAGCAATGAGAAAAAACTCATCTCATACAAATACACTCATACACACAGACACAATAATCTTAATAGCTAACCTCATCAGTAACAATGGAGGTTAGAAGGCTGTAACATGGGCTGGGTGCCGTGGCTCATGTCTATAATCCCAGCACTTTGGGAGGCTGAGGCAGGCAGATCACGAGGTCAAGAGTTCAAGACCAGCCTGGCCAACATGGTGAAACCCCATCTCTACTAAGAATATAAAAATTAGCTGGGTGTGGTGGTACATGCCTGTAATCCCAGCTACTCGGGAGGCTGAGGCAGGAGAATTGCTTGAACCCGGGAGGCGGAGGCTGCAGTGAGCCAAGATTGTGCCACTGCACTCCAGCCTGGGCAACAGAGCAAGACTCTGTCTCAAAAAAAAAAAAAATTAAAGAAGACAGTAACATATGCAAATTTGGGGGTTAGTGGGGAGAAGCTAGCAATCAAGAATTTTACATCAAGAAAAATTATCCTTCAAAACTGAAGACCGGTACAGGGACAGTGGTTTGCACCCATAATCCCAGCACTTTGGGAGGCCAAGGTGGGAGGATCGCTTGAACCCAGGAGTTCAAGACCAGCCTGGGCAACAAAGTAAGACCCTGTCTCTGCAAAAAAAAAAAAAAAAAAAATTTAGCCATGTGTGGTAGTGCACACCTGTAGTCCTAGCTACTCAGGAGGCTGAGGCAGGAGGCTCTCTTAGGCCCAAGAGATTGAGGTTGCAATGAGACATGATCATGCCACTACACTCCGGCCTGGGCAACAGAGCGAGACCCTGTCTCCAAAACCAAAATTTATTCTAAAGAAAACAAAAAGAGAAGCCAACATGAACATATTCTTAGATAAACAAAGACTAGGGAGATTTATCTCTTGCAGATATGTCTTACAAGAAACACTAATGTAATACTAAAGTAAGTTCTTCAGACTGAGAAGAAATGACACCAGATAATAATCCCAATCCAATGAAAAACAATTATTGTATGTCAATTAAAGATAAAACTTGTAGCTAGGCACAGTGGCGCACACCTGTAATCCCAGCTACTTGGGAGGCTGAGGCACAAGAATCACTTGAACCCAGCAGGTGGAGTCTGCAGTGAGCCAAGATCACACCACTGTAGTCCAGCCTGGGCAACAGAGCAAGACTCCATCTCAAAAATATTACATTAAAAAAAGTAAAATTTGTAAAAGAAACAAACAGCATCAGAAAAAATAATATGTTGGTAATTATTTTTTAAAAACTAAAAACTAAAAACTACAAATCTCTTTTTTTTCTTTTTCTTTTTTGAGAGACAAGGTCTCACTCTCTCACCCAGGATGGAGTGCAGTGGTTTGACCATCGCTCACTGCAGCCTCAAATCCTGGACTCAAGTGATCCCCTCACCTCAGCCTCCTCCTGAGTAGCTGGGACTACAGATGCACACCGCCATGCCTGGCTCCTTTTCATTTCTTAACTGTTTTAAAAGAAATTACATAAAACAACAATTATAAAATTACAGTGTTGGGTTTGTAACATCTAAAGATAATGTGTGTGTATATATGCACTCACACACATATGACAATAATGGTACAAAGGATAGGGAAAAGATGGAGTTACATTGAAACAAAGGAACCACATCAGATTGTAAGTCCAATCCACAAGAACAAATCATCAGAAACACTAAATAAGTTTCATACGAAAAACTTTAAGTGTATTTTACTAATTTCTTCTCTTAATTTTTTAAAAGACGTAGAATTTGGCTGGGCACAGTGGCTGACGCCTGTATTCCCAGCACTTTGGGAGGCCGAGGTGGGTGGATCACCTGAGTTCAGGAGTTCCAGACCAGCCTGGGAAACAGGGCAAAACCCCGTCTCTACTAAAAATACAAAAATTAGCTGGGCATGGTTGTGCTCACCTGAAATCCCAGTTACTCAGGAGGCTGAGTTGGGAGGATCTCTTGAGCCTAGAAAGCAGACGTTGCAGTGAGCCGAGATCATGCCACTTCACTCCAGCCTGGAGTACATCCCTACACCCCCTCAGGTTCAGTCTGAACTGAACAGGGGATACCTGTGAAAGGAAAATAAATCTTGGGGCCCGAAAATCACTAAGCTAAAGGGAAAAGTCAAGTTGGGAACTGCTGAGAGCAAACCTACGTCTCATTCTATTCGGTCACTCCTCTGCTTACTGAGATAAATGCTATCTGATTGCCTCCTTTGGAGAGGCTAATCAGAAACTCAAAAGAGGCCGGGCACAGTGGCTCACACCTGTAATCCTAGCACTTTGGGAGGCCGAGGCGGGTGGATCACCCGAGGCCAGGAGTTCGAGACCAGCCTGGCCAACATGGTGAAACCCCGTCTCTACTAAAAATACAAAAATTAGCTCAGCGTGGTGGCACATGCCTGTAATCCCAGCTATTCGGGAGGCTGAGGAATGAGAATCGCTTGAACCTGGGAGGTGGAGGTTGCAACAAGCCAAGATCGCACCACTGCACTCCAGCCTGTGCAACAGGAGCGAGCCTCCATCTCAAAAAAAAAGAAACTCAAAAGAAAGTAACCATTTGTCTCTTATCTACCTATGACCTGGAAGCCCCCTCGCCACTTGGAGTTGTCCCACCATTGCTTCAAGTTGTCCCGCCTTTCCAGACCGAACCAATGTTAATCTTACATATGTTGATTGATGTCTCATGTCTCCCTAAAATGTATAAAACCAAGCTGTGCCCTGACAACTTGGGCACATGTCATCAGGACTTCCTAAGGCTGTGTCACCGACACACATCCTCAACCCTGACAACATAAACTTTCTAAATTAACTGAGACCTGTCTCAGATATTCAGGGTTCACACTCCCCTGGACCCCCTGACTTTCTTCAGGGCACTGGCCACTTTCTTGTCTGTCTTTGGACACTCTCCTCTAGAAGTCTTTGAAATTCTTGAGGCAGGAAGGACCAATTCCCAGCCCTGAATCTTGCATAAAGTGGGTCTTTTTTAAATGGAAATACGGCTACTCCTCAAAGGAAGGCTAGGAATTTTGCTCTGTGTGACCCTAGTCGTAGTTCTTCACAGAGGGCTCCATTTCACTTGCCTTTCCTTCTGCTTTTTTCTTCACTCGTTTCCCCACAGAGCAAGACAAAAGAAGCCGGCAAGGATGGCTCTGGTCAGGGTCTGCCTTCAGCCACCCAAATGGGATTGCAAAGAGGAGGACAGGGATGGAAAGGGGAAAGTTTGATTTGGTTTGGTTTGCTTAGTCTTTCTATTGGTACCACTTCCTTATCCCAACCTCATCATCTTCCCCGATCCCTACCAACCCACTGCAGGCATATGAGCCCTAAAATCTGGGAAAGGCTTTTTTCCCTAGGGGCCCTGGCCTCACAGACTTGCCCAGGGGGGTAAATTCTCAGTGGCTCAGTGGCACGTGCCTCACGTCCTCACCGGCAGCCTAGATAGATAGATAGATAGATAGATAGATAGATAGATAGATGATAGATAGATATATAGTTTTTTTTTTTTTTTTTTTTTTTTTGAGACGGAGTTTCGCTCTTGCCGCTGCCCAGGCTATAGTGCAATGGCGCCATCTCGGCTCACCGCAACTTCCGCCTCCCAGGTTCAAGCGATTCTCCTGCCTCAGCCTCCCGAGTAGCTTGTATTACAGGCATGCGCCACCACACCCAGCTAATTTTGTATTTTTAGTAGAGAGGGGGTTTCTCCATGTTGTTCAGGCTGGTCTCGAACTCCCAACCTCAGGTGATCCGCCTGTCTTGGCCTCTCAAGTGCTGGGATTACAGGGGTGAGCCACCGCGCCCAGCCGGGAGCCCCTATTTTAAGGACGCTATTGCTGTGGAGGAGTAACCCCACTTTTAGGAATCCTTTTCCGTGCGAAAGGCTGTTTGAGATCAGGCGCAACAACTTCTCCCGCTCAGGTTACCCTCAGAAAGGCTATGGACCCCGGACTCCGCCCCAGATTGCATAACAACTGAGGGGTGGGTCCCTATTTCCTCTCTGGGATCTGTAGCCAATCATTCACGAGGTAAACAGAACGACCGAGTTTCTCTCAGCCGAGAACTGTGGCTGCCCCTCCGGTGAAAACAGAGGAAGTGGGAGCGGCAGGAAGCGCTTTGGGACCAGGGCGACCCCTGAAGCGTAGAGGAACCAGGTCACAAGCATACGTGAATGCTCACATTCCATAGTTATCAAATGTATTCAGGTTTAAATTTTACTTTTCTAGAAAAAATGTAAATAATCCGTTGAGAATATTTAATGAAAAATGTTGGTCGTATCTTTATCTGGTCTGCGGCTCTGTCCCTGTTTCCTGGATAGGAGACTACGTCTGTATCTTGTATCACAGGAGGCACCTTCTTCCTGTTTCCTGGCACAGACTTGTAAGTGAATTTCCTGCCCGCCTCCGCCCACAGCGTAAGCCGCGCTGGAACAGCTCACTTATTGCCCCAGATGTATGTGGAGTAACCGCCTTCAGTTTCCTGGTTCTGAGTTTCCGTGTTACTCAAGCAATGCTTCTGCTGAATTTGTCTTTTTTTTTTTTTTTTTGAGACAGAGTCTTGCTTTGTCGCCCAGACTGGAGTGCAATGGCGTGGTCTCGGCTCACTGCAGCCTCCACCTCCTGGGTTCAAGCGAGTCTCCTGCCTCAGCCTCCTGAGTGTGCAACTTATCTTTTTATTTTATTTATTTATAATTTTTTGGCTAATTTTGGCTATTTTGTGTCTGTGTGTGTATTTTTAGTAGACATGGGGTTTCACCATGTTGGGCAGGCTGGTCTCGAACTCCTGACCTCAGGTGATCCGCCCACCTCGGCCTCCCAAAGTGCTGGAATTACAGGCGTGAGCCACCGCACCTGGCCTATTTATTTATTTATTTATTTGTGACTGAGTCTCGCTCTGTCACCCAAGCTGGAATGCAATGGCGTGATCTCGGCTCACTGCTACCTCCACGCCCCAAGTTTAAGCAATTCTCCTGCCTCAGACTCCCGAGTAGCTGGGACTACAGGTGTGCACCACCACATCCAGCTAATTTTTTGTATTTTTAGTAGAGATGGGGTTTCACCATGTTGGTCAGGCTGGTCTCGAACTCCTGACCTCAAGCGATCCACCCACCTTGGCCTCCCAAAGTGTTGGGATACAGGCGTGAGCCACTGCACCTGGTTGAATTTCTCCTTTTAATTGGAGGTTTCATTTTATTTTTCTTTATTTATTTTTTTGAGACGAAGTTGCACTCTTGTTGCCCAGGCTAGAGTGCAGTGGCGCGATCTGGGTTCACTGCAACCTCTGCCTCCCAGATGCAAGTGATTCTCCTGCCTCAGCCTCCTGAGTAGCTGGGAATACAAGCACCCACCACCATGCCCAGCTAATTTTTGTACTTTTAGTAGAGACAAGGTTTTGCCATGTTGGCCAGGGTGGTCTCAAACTCCTGAGCTCGTGATCTGCCCACCTCAGCCTCCCAAAGTGCTGGGATTACAGGCGTGAGCCACCGTGCCTGGTCTCTTTCTTTATTTTTTATTTTATTTTTTGACACCAGATCTGCTCTGTTACTCAGGCTAGAGTGCAGTGGCATTGAGAGGTGACAACCTGCTAGCAGCCCTTGCTTGCTCTTGGCGCCTCCTCGGCCTCGGTGTCTGCTCTGGCCGGGCTCGAGGAGCCCTTCAGCCCACTGCTGTGCTGTGGGGGCCCCTCTCTGGGGCTGGCTGAGGCCGGAGCCGTCTCCCTCTGCTTGGGGGGAGGTGTGGAGGGAGAGACGCCAGTGGGAACAGGGGCTGCGCGTGGTGCTCCCGGGCCAGTGGTGTTCCGGGTGGGTGCGGGCTAGGCAGGCCCTGCACTGGGGGCAAGGTTGGCGTCGCCTGCTGGGCTTGATGGGGGGGTGGGGGAGGAGCGCCCTCTGGGCTGCCGGAGTGCCCCACTAGGCGCGGCAAAGTCCCAGGAGTGCCATTGAGAGGTGAAGCCAGCTGGGCTTCTGGGTCGGGTGGGGACTTGGAGAACTTTTGTGTCTAGCTAAAGGATTGTAAATGCACCAATCAGCACTCTGTGTCTAGCTAAAGGATTGTAAACGCACCAATCAGCACTCTGTGTCTAGGTAAAGGATTGTAAACGCACCAATCAGCACTCTGTGTCTAGCTAAAAGTTTGTAAATGCACCAATCACCACTCTGTGTCTAGCTAATCTGGTGGGGATTTAGAGAACTTTTGTGTCTAGCTAAAGGATTGTAAACTCACCAATCAGCACTCTGTGTCTAGCTAAAGGATTGTAAACACACCAATAAGCACTCTGTCAAAACGGACCAATCAGCTTTCTGTAAAATGAACCAATCAGCTCTCCGTAAAATGGACCAATCAGCTCTCTGTAAAATAGAACAATCAGCAGGATGTGGGTGGGGCCGGATGGGGGAATAAAAGCAGGCCACCCAAGCCAGCGGCGGCAACATGCTCGGGTCCTCTTCCACACTGTAAAAGCTGCTTTGTTCTTTTGCTTTTTGCAGTAAATCTTAGTGCTCCTCACTCTTTGCGTCTACGCTGCTTTTATGAACTGTTAACACTCACTGTGAAGGTCTGCAGCTTCACTCCTTAAGCCAGCGAGACCACAAACCCACTGGGAGGGATAAACAACTCCAGACGGGAGGAACAAACAACTTCGGGTGCACCACCTTTATGAACTGTAGCACTCACTGCGAAGGTCTGCAGCTTCACTCCTGAGGCCAGCAAGACCACGAACCCACCAGAAGGAACGAACAACTCCAGATATGCCACCTTTAAGGGCTATAACACTCACCGCGGAAGTCTGCAGCTTCACTCCTGAAGTCAGTGAGACCATGAACCCACCAGAAGGAAGAAACTCTGGACACATCTGAACATCTGAAGGAACAAACTCTGGACACACCATCTTTAAGAACTGTAACACTCACCGCGAGGGTACACGGCTTCATTCTTGAAGTCAGCGAGACTAAGAACCCAACAATTCCGGACACAGCATGATCTTGGTTCACTACAACCTGGATCTCCCAGAGTCAAGCAATCCTCTCGTCTCAGTCTCCCAAGTAGCTGGAACTACAGGTGTGTGCCACCATGCCCCACTAATTTTTGTATTTATTGTAGAGACGGTTTCAGCATGTTGCCCAGGCTGGTCTCCAACTCCTGGACTCAAGTGATCCTCTCCACCTAGGCCTCCCACAGTGCTGGGATTACAGGAATGAGCCACCACGCCCGGCCTAATTGGAAGTTTTAGAGTGCAGTGGGGATCACGTGCGTAGAGGTTACTGCTGCCTTAATTAAAGGAGACAACATGTTTCATAAAACTTGGAAATTGTAGAGGGTGTGGGGAACCACTCAAATTCAGAATATCAAAACAGAACTTTATTTTTTGTGTATTTGTTGCCAATCTTTTTCCCTACATATGTAATGTTTGTTTGTTTGACATGACTACCATTTCTGTTTTCATAATATGTTTAATACTTTTCCTCCACTTAACAAACATGGCTACGATTTGCCAAGTTGCTGATCATCCTTTTTTTTTTTTTTCGAGACAGAGTTTCACCCTTGTTGCCCAGGCTGGAGTGCAGTGGCAGATCTCAGCTCACTACAACCTCTGCCTGCTGGGTTCAAGTGATTCTCCAGCCTCAGCCTCCCAAGTAGCTGGGATTACAGGTACCCGCCACCACTCCTGGCTAACTTTTGTATTTTTAGTAGAGACAGAGTTTTGTCAGGTTGGCCAGGCTGGTCTCAAACTCCTGACCTCCAGAGATCCACCCGCTTCAGCCTCCCAAAGTGCTGGGATAACAGGCGTGAGCCACTGAACCTGGCCCAGATCATCCTTTTAAGTGTTCTTTTTCATTTGTAGGTTTAACATTGGCTTTGGGGTGAGAAAGAAACCAAGACTCACCCAGAGTCATAAGCCCAACAAGAGAATGGGTCTGTCTGGGCTAGCCCTGGGCTACTGGATGAGCAGGGTTGGCCTTTTCATTCTCTGAGTCTTCGTTTCTCTGGCCTTTACATTTCTCTGGAGGGACTTTTCATTTTCTCTGGAAACCAACTCCAAGTGCACTTTTCCAGAAGGCATTTTTGTAATGCCTGGTTGGCTGCATGCGACCTCTGGTTTTCCTCCTTCACCCTTTCCTGCTCAGTCACTGCATTTTCTGTTCTCAAAAGAACCCTCTCATATAGCACGTGCAGAGAGCAGTAGCGAGTCAGGCTGTCCCGCGGTGTGTGTCCGGACTCCTGTGTGCTCTGGCAGTGGGGCCAGTGGGCTGGGAAGAGTTGCAGGAGAAACCCAGTGGGAGAGAAAGACTCCAACCTGGGAACCTCGGGGCATCTGGTAGCGCCAGAATGACTTTCCAAAATTTTGGTTGGGGCAGTCACAGGCCCCTGCTCGCCACGGTGGCCTCTGGCAAAGAAACACATGTGGGGCAGACAAGAGGGATGCTCGCCAATCTCCTCTGAATTTTGCAACCCTGTGTGTTAAAAACAGGTATTTCTGGTCTTTAAAGACACTTGGAAAAGACAGACTTGTTGAATACTTAGAAAGGCCAAGCCACAGCCAGAAGCTTGGTGTCTGGGATCCATCATCTCTAAGGTTTTAAAAGCATCTTGCTGGAATAGGAACAGCTCCGGTCTGCAGCTCTCAGCAAGACCAACACAGAAGATGGGTGATTTCTGCATTTCCAGCTGAGGTACCTGGTTCATCTCATTGGGACTAGTTGGACAGTGGGTGCAGCCCATGGAGGGCGAGCCAAAGCAGGGCAGGGCATCGCCTCACCTGGGAAGTGCAAGGGGTCAGGGGATTTCCCTTTCCTAGCCAAGGGAAGCCGTGACAGACTGTACCTGGAGGAACAGTACACTCCTGCCCAAATACTGGGCTTTTCCCATGGTCTTCACAACTGACAGACCAGGAGATTCCCTCCCGTGCCTGGCTCGGTGGGGCTCATGCCCATGGATCCTTGCTTACTGCCAGTGCAGCAGTCTTAAGATTGGCCTGGCATGCTGCAGCTTGTTGGGGGGGTGGGAGGGCGTCCGCCATTCCTGAGGCTTGAGTAGGCAGTTTTATGCTCACAGTGTAAACAGGCCGGGAAGCTTGAACTGGGTGGAGCCCACTGCAGCTCAGCAAGGCCTACTGCCTCTCTAGATTCCACCTCTGTGGGCAGGGCATGTCAGAACAAAAGGCAGCAGACAGCTTTGGCAGACCTAAACGCCCCTGTCTGACAGTTCTGAAGAGAGCAGTGGTTCTCCCAGCATGGCATTTGAGCTCCGAAAATGGACAGACTGCCTCCTCAAGTCGGTCCTTGACCCCCGTGTACCCTGACTGGGAGACACCTCCCAGTAGGGGCCAACAGACACCTCACACAGGCAGGTGCACCTCTGGAACAAAGCTTCCAGAGGAAGGATCAGGCAGCAATATTTGCTGTTCTGCAGCCTCCGCTAGTGATATCCAGGCAAACAGGGTCTGGAGTGGACCTCCAGCAAATTCCAACAGACCTGCAGCTGAGGGTCCTGACTGTTAGAAGGAAAACTAACAAACAGAAAGGAATAGCATCAACACCAACAAAAAGGACATCCACACCAAAACCCCATCTGTAGGTCACCAACATCAAAGACCAAAGGTAGAAAAAACCACAAAGATGGGAAGAAACCAGAGCAGAAAAGCTGAAAATTCCAAAAACCAGATTGCCTCTTCTCCTCCAAAGGATCACAGCTCCTCACCAGCAAGGGAACAAAACTGGATGGAGAATGAGTTTGACAAGTTGACAGAAGTAGGCTTCAGAAGGTTGGTAACAAACTTCTCCGAGCTAAAGGAGGATGTTCAAACCCATCGCAAGGAAGCTGAAAACCTTGAAAAAAGGTTAGACAAATGGCTAACTAGAATAAACGGTATAGAGAAGACCTTAAATGACCTGATGGAGCTGAAACCCATGGCACGAGAACTACATGACTCATGCACAAGCTTCAGTAGCTGATTCAATCAAGTGGAAGAAAGGGTATCAGTGATTGAAGATCAACTCAATGAAATAGAGCAAGAAGACAAGATTAGAGAAAAAAGAATGAAAAGAAATGAACAAAGCCTCCAAGAAATATGGGACTATGTGAAAAGACCAAATCTACATTTGACTGGTGTACCTGAAAGTGACGGGGAGAATGGAACCAAGTTACAAAATACTCTTCAGGATGTTATCCAGGAGAACTTCCCTAACCTAGCAAGGCAGGAAAACATTCAAATTTAGGAAATACAAAGAACACCACAAAGATACTTCTTAAGAAGAGCAACTCCAAGACACACAATTGTCAGATTCACCAAGGATGAAATGAAGGAAAAAATGTTAAGGGCAGCCAGAGAGAAAGGTCGGGTCACCCACAAAGGGGAGCCCATCAGACTAACAGCAGATCTCTCAGCAGAAACCTTACAAGCCAGAAGAGAGTGGGGGCCAATATTCAACATTTTTAAGAAAAGAATTTTCAAACCAGAATTTCATATCCAGCCAAACTAAGCTTCATAAGTGAAGGAGAAATAAAATCCTTTACAGACAAGCAAATGTTGAGAGATTTTGTCACCACCAGGCCTGCTTTACAAGAGCTCCTGAAGGAAGCACTAACCATGGAAAGGAACAACTGGTATCAGCCACTGCCACTGCAAAAACATGCCAAAGTGTAAAGACCATTGACACTATGAAGAAACTGCATCAATTAATGGGCAAAATAACCAGCTAACATCATAGTGACAGGATCAAATTCACCCATAACAATATTAATCTTAAATGTAAATAGGCTAAATGCCCCAACTGAAAAACAGACTGACAAATTGGATAAAAAGTCAAGACCCATCGTTGTACTGTATTCAGGAGACCCATTTCATGTGCAAAGATACAAATAGGCTCAAAATAAAGGGATGGAGGAAGATCTACCGAGCAAATGGAAAGCAAAAAAAAAATCAGGGGTTGCAATCCTCGTTTCTGACTAAAAAAAAAAAAAAAGATTTCAAACCAACAAAGATCAAAAGAGAGAAAGAAGGGCATTACATAATGGTAAAGGGATCAATTCAATAAGAAGAACTAACTATCCTAAATACATATGCACCCCAAACAGGAGCACCCAGATTCATAAAGCAAGTCCTTAGAGACCTACAAAGAGATTTAGACTCCCACACAGTAATAATGGGAGACTTTAATACCCCACTGTCAATATTAGACAGATCAATGAGACAGAAGGTTAACAAGCATATCCAGGACTTGAACTCAGCTCTGGACCAAGGGGACCGAATAGACATCTACAGAACTCTCCACCCCAAATCAACAGAATATACATTCTTCTCAGCACCACATCGCGCTTATTCTAAAATTGACCACATAATTGGAAGTAAAACACTCCTCAGCAAATATAAAAGAACAGAAATCACAACAAACTGTCTGTCAGACCACAGTGCAATCAAATTAGAACTCAGGATTAAGATTCACTCAAAACTGCACAACTACATGGAAATTGAACTACCTGCTCCTGAATGACTACTGGGTAAATAATGAAATGAAGGCAGAAATAAAGATGTTGTTTGAAACCAATGAGAACAAAGACACAACATACCAGAATCTCTGGGACACATTTAAAGCAGTGTGTAGAGGGAAATTTAGAGCACTAAATGCCCACAAGAGAAAGCAGGAAAGATCTAAAATCAACACCCTAACATCACAATTAAAAGAACTAGAGAAGCAAGAGCAAACACATTCAAAAGCTAGCAGAAGGCAAGAAATTACTAAGATCAGAGCAGAACTGATGGAGATAGAGACACAAAAAACCCTTCCAAAAAATCAGTGAATCTAGGAGCTGGTTTTTTGAAAAGATCAACAAAATTGATAGACTGCTAGCAAGACTAATAAAGAAGAAAAGAGAGAAGAATCAAATAGACACAATAAAAAATGATAAAGGGGACATCACCACCAATCCCTCAGAAATACAAACTACCATCAGGAATACTATAAACACCTCTACACGAATAAACTAGAAAATCTAGAAGAAATGAATAAATTCCTGGACACATACACCCTCCCAAGACTAAACCAGGAAGAAGTTGAATCCCTGAATAGACCAATAACAGGCTCTGAAATTGAGGCAATAATTAATAGCCTACCAACCAAAAAAAGTCCAGGACCAGACGGATTCACAGCCAAATTCTACTGGAGGTACAAAGAGGAGTTGGTACCATTCCTTCGGAAACTATTCCAATCAATAGAAAAAGAGAGAATCCTCCCTAACTCATTTCATGAGAACAGCATCATCCTGATACCAAAGCCTGGCAGAGACACAACAAAAAAAGAAAATTTAAGCCAATATCCCTGATGAACATCAATGCAAAAATCCTCAATAAAATACTGGCAAACGAAATCCAGCAGCACATCAAAAAGCTTATCCACCATGATCAAGCCGGCTTCATCCCTGGGATTCAAGGCTGGTTCAACATATGCAAATCAATAAATGTAATCCATCACATAAACAGAACCAACGACAAAAACCACATGATTATCTCAATAGATGTAGAAAAGGCCTTCGACAAAAATTCAACAACCCTTCATGCTAAAAACTCTCAATAAACTATGTATTGATGACGTATTTCAAAATAATAAGAGCTATTTATGACAAACCCACAGTCAATATCATACTGAATGGGCAAAAACTGGAAGCATTCCCTTTGAAAATTGGCACAAGACAAGGTTGCCCTCTCTCACCACTCCTAGTCAACATAGTGGTGGAAGTTCTGGCCAGGGCAATCAAGCAAGAGAAAGAAATAAAGGGTATTCAATTAGGAAAAGAGGAAGTCAAATTGTCTCTGTTTGCAGATGACATGACTGTATATTTAGAAAACACCATCATCTCAGCCCAAAATC
Source organism: Homo sapiens (assembly GCF_000001405.40). Lineage (NCBI taxonomy): Eukaryota > Metazoa > Chordata > Mammalia > Primates > Hominidae > Homo > Homo sapiens. The sequence goes on from NT_167249.2 coordinate 1,825,851, forward strand.
TCCTTAAGCTGATAAGCAACTTCAGCAAAGTCTCAGGACACAAAATCATTGCACAAAAATCACAAGTATTCCTATATACCAATAACAGACAAACAGAGAGCCAAATCATGAATGGACTCCCATTCACAATTACTACAAAGAAAATAAAATACCTAGGAATCCAACTTACAAGGGATGTGAAGGACCTCTTCAAGGAGAACTACAAACCACTGCTCAACAAAATAAAAGAGGACAAACAAACGGAAGAACATTCTATGCTCATGGATAGGAAGAATCAATATCGTGAAAATGGCCATACTGCCCAAGGTAATTTATAGATTCAATGCCATCCCCATCAAGCTACCAATGACTTTCTTCACAGAATTGGAAAAAACTACTTTAAAGTTCATATGGAACAAAAAAAGAGCCCACATTGCCAAGACAATCCTAAGCAAAAAGAACAAAGCTGGAGGCAGCACGCTACCTGACTTCAAACTATAGTACAAGACTACAGTAACCAAAACAGCATGGTAGTGGTACCAAAACAGATATATAGACAAATGGAACAGAACAGAGGCCGCAGAAATAACACCACACATCTACAACCATCTGATCTTTGACAAACCTGATAAAAACAAGCATGGGGAAAGGATTTCCTGTTTAATAAATGGTGCTGGGAAAACTGGCTAGCCATATGTAGAAAGCTGAAACAGGATCCCTTCCTTACACTTTATACAAAAATTAACTCAAGATGTATTAAAGACTTAAACATAAGACCTAAAACCATAAAAACCCTAGAAGAAAACCTAGGCAATACCATTCAGGACATAGGCATGGATAAATGCTTCATGACTAAAACACCAAAAGCAATGGCAACAAAAGCCAAAATAGACAAATGGGATCTAATTAAACTAAAGAGCTTCTGCACAGCAAAAGAAACTATCATCACAGTGAACAGGCAACCTACAGAATGGGGAAAAATTTTGCAATCTACCCATCTGGCAAAGGGCTAATATCCAGAAGCTACAAAGAACTTAAACAAATTTACAACAAAAAAATCAAACAACCCCATCAACAAGTGGGCGAAGGATATGAACAGACACTTCTCAAAAGAAGACATTTATGCAGCCAAAAGACATATGAAAAAATGCTCATCATCACTGGTCACCAGAGAAATGCAAATCAAAACCACAATGAGATGCCATCTCACGCCAGTTAGAATGGTGATCATTAAAAAGTCAGGAAACAACAGATGCTGGAGAGGATGTGGAGAAATAAGAACACTTTTACACTGTTGGTGGGAGTGTAAATCAGTTCAACCATTGTGGAAGACAATGCAGCGATTCCTCAAGGATCTAGAACTAGAAATACCATTTGACCCAGCCATCCCATTACTGGGTATATACCCAAAGGATTATAAATCATGATAAGGACACATGCACATGTATGTTTATTGCGGCACTAGTCACAGTAGCAAAGACTTGGAACCAACCCAGATGTCCATCAATGATAGACTGGATTAAGAAAATGTGGCACATATACACCGTGGAATACTATGCAGCCATAAAAAAGGATGAGTTCATGTCCTTTGCAGGGACATGGATGAAGCTGGAAACCATCATTCTCAGCAAACTATCACAAGGACAGAAAACCAAACACTACATGTTCTCACTCATAAGTGGGAGTTGAACAATGAGAATACACAGACACAGGGCAGGGAACATCACACACCGAGGCCTGTGGGGGGGTTGGGGGTTAGGGAAGGGATAGCATTAGGAGAACTACCTAATGTAAATCACGAGTTGATGGGTGCAGCAAACCACCATGGCACAGGTATACCTATGTAACAAACATGCATGTTGTGCACATGTACCCCAGATCTTAAAGTATAATAAAATAAAAAATAAAAAAAATCTTCCCTACTTTTTAAACTGTATGTTGCTTTGTAGCAATACATTATGCACATTATAAAGTGTTTTAATTAGAAATTTTAGAAGATATGATAAAGAAAAATAATTTAAATAACAATTTTTATTCAAAATACAAATAATAGGGCTGGGCGCGGTGGCTGACGCCTGTAATCCTAGCACTTTGGCAGGCCGAGGCGGGCAGATCACGAGGTCAGGAGTTCAAGACCAGCCTGGCCAACATGGTGAAACCCTGTCTCTACTAAAAATACAAAAAATTAGCTGGGCGTAGTGGCGGGTGCCTGTAATCCCAGCTACTCGGGAGACTAAGGCACAAGAATCGCTTGAACCCGGGAGGCGGAGGTTGCAGTGAGCCGAGATCGCACCACTGCACTCCAGCCTAGGCGACAGAGTGAGACTGTGTCTCAAAAAAGAAAAAAAAAGAAAAGAAAAGAAAAAGAAAAAAGAATATTTTGCCCTTATAACATTATTAATTATATACTTTCAAGTGAGAGCAATATGACTAATTATGCTTAATTATTTTTGAAAATGATGCTTTAACAATTTGTAATGCAGACATTTGATGGTCTGGTTCTATGTTGAGTTCATGTTGATACTTGGTCTTAAGGACAGTTAGAGCTGATAAAAATAACTTGTGCATAGACCAGGCGCGGTGGCTCACGCCTGTAATACCAGCACTTTGGGAGTCTGAGGCGGGCGGATCACGAGATCAGGAGATGGAGACCATCCTGGCTAACACGGTGAAGCCCCGTCTCTATTAAAAATACAAAAAAAATTAGCCAGGTGCGGTGGCAGGCACCTGTAGTCCCAGCTACTTGGAAGGCTGAGGCAGGAGAATGGTGTGAACCTTGCAGTGAGCCGAGATCACGCCACTGCACTACAGCCTGGGCAACAGAGCGAAACCCTGTCTCAAAAAAAAAAAAAAAAAGAAAAAAAAAAAGAAATAACTTCTGCACACATCATAACGTTCATACATAATGAATCATTGATATACTCATTAAAATGTGACTCATCCAGGAAAATCCCATCCCTAAATTATTTAAAGTTTTTGTTTTCCCTCAGCTACTATATTTCTGTTCTACCTTATGCAAACTAATGAGAAACCATTGTCCCAAGACTGGTGGCCTCCTGGCATGGTTGTGCAACAGCTGTTGTCAAACTCCAGAGTCTAAAGTGCACCACGAAAGCCAGATGGCAGGCCAGATCCAGCCTCCCTGCTAAATGAAATGTTCACTGGCCAGGGAGAAACAACCACGTGGAAAATTAAATAAACCCATGACATTTGTAGCCAGCAGCTCGGGTGTTTTGTAGGGTTTTCCCTGAGAAGTGGGGACTAATCGCATGAATCACTTTTTTTTTCTTTTTAGAGTCTTATCTATTTGTGAGTAAATGTTTCCAATTAAAGCATTGCTACTAAGCCTCAGTTTTCTCACCTCTACCATGGAGTTAAAATGTCTACTTCACACTGTCCATAAAAGAATTAAGATGGCCGGGCGCGGTGGCTCACGCCTGTAATCCCAGCACTTTGGGAGGCCGAGGCGGACGGATCACGAGGTCAGGAGATCGAGACCATCCTGGCTAACACAGTGAAACCCCGTCTCTACTAAAAATATGAAAAACTAGCCTGGCGTGGTGGTGGACGCCTGTAGTCCCAGCTACTCAGGAGGCTAAGGCAGGAGAATGGCGTGAACCCAGGAGGCGGAGCTTGCAGTGAGCCTAGATTGTGCCACTGCACTCCAGCCTGGGCGACAGAGCAAGACTCCGTCTCAAAAAAAAAAAAAAAAAAAAAAAAAAAAAAAAGCCAGGCATGGTTGGTGGCTCACACCTGTAATCTCAGAACTTTGGGAAACAGGCAGGATCACTTCAGCCCAGAAGTGTGGGACCAGTCTGGGCAACATAGTGAGATCCTGTCTCTTAAAAAAAAAAGAAAAGAATCAAAATAAAACAAGAAAACAAAAACACAGAACAAGTGCATCATCATAGTGGTGACAATTTTTAGGAAACTTTTTTTGTTTTTTTCTGTGTGAACCTAACTGATCTAATAAGGGAGTGTGTGAACATTTCCATGTTGGTCCATTTTTTATGTGCCTAAATGGACAAATTCACCCAGGACCTGGCTGCTGGACTCATCCTTAGGAAGAATAAAGAAAAAGGAAGTTTATCTCTAGCATCTTTCTCTTGCCCTTGTTTTCTTCCTGGCCACAGTCATGCCCTGGATTTCAGTGTCTCTAAACATCTAGCAGCCTCTCACCCAGCATAACCCCTGTTGAGGTCCAGGGCACGATGGTGGGAGTGGGTGCAGAAGAGACAGAGAGACCACTGGTTTGAGTGTCTAGGGTTTGGGTCCTCAGGAAGAACTTGGCCCGGCGCGGTGGCTCACGCCCGTAATCCAAGCACTTCGGAGACCGAGGCGGTTGGATCACCTGAGGTCAGGAGTTTGAGACCAGCCTGGCCAACATGGTGAAACAACGTCTCTACTAAAAATACAAAAAATTAGCCAGGCGTGGTGGCAGGCACCTGTAATCCCAGCTACTCAGGAGCTTGAGGCAGGAGAATCACCTGAACTCGGGCCGCGGAGGTTGCAGTGAGCCGAGATTGCGCCAGTGCACTCCACCCTGGGCAACAAGAGTGAAACTCCGTCTCAAAAAAAGAAAAAAAAAGAAGAACTTCTTGACTTGACTCAGCAGGACTTTTTCCATGGGTCTAGAGCTAGGTGTGAAGAGAGTGAGCTCGTGGTGAGAGGAACTTGTTCATCAAAAGGAGTCCATGCCCAGTGGCAGAAGTGGAGAGGTGGGTATGGGACACACAGGGAAGCTGCTCTCTTCTGTTGTCTGTGGCTTCTGTTGGAGGATGTGCTGTGGGAATGCAAGGAGGAGATGGAAGGAAGGTGTCAATATAGCTTTAACAAAGGAAAAAAAAATGAAAACACCGAAACCACCCTTGCAAAAATTGTAACAGTGAGAAAATTATGACATTGAAAGATATCCAATCTAACCCAACTCCTTCTTGCCTTTAACCTCCAAATTGCACTTAGTCATTCCTGAGCAAAGGCCAAGCTAACTTTGGGAGAAATTTCGTTTACAGTTTAAATGATAATAGCCCTTCCCAAAACTAACCTGTCTTTGTAAAAATGATGAAAGGCCACCAGGTTAGGGAGGATGAGAGGGGCCTGAATGCAGGCTTAGATAAACAATTACCCGCCATTGTTTCAGAGGTCACAAGATTTGTAACTTCCCCAATTAGTCCTGTAAAATGATATCACTGTGGCCTTTTGAGATGTCTTTGCAGTTATTTTTTGTTTTGTTTGCTTTGAGACAAGGTCTTGCTCTGTCACCAAGGCTGGAGTGCAGTGATCATAGCTCACTGCAGTCTCTATCTCCTGGGCTCAAGTGAACCTTCCACCTCAGCCTTCCAAGTAGCTGGGACTGCAGGTGCATGCCACCATGCCTGGCCAGTTTTGTTGTTTTTTGGTTCTGGGGTGTTTTTTGCTTGTTTGTTTGTTTTGTTTTTGTATTTTTAGTAGACATGATGTCTGGCTCTGTTGTTCAGGCTGGTCTCAAACTCCTGGACTCAAGCGATCCTCCTGCCTCAGCCTCCCAAACTGCTGGGGTTACAGGCACGAGCCACCTTGCCCAGCTCAGGCTTTTCCATTTTGGAAAACCAGATGACTCCACCCAGATCCAAGACCGGTCCTATGGCCCCACTCAGAAGTGGACTCAGTGCACGAGGACCATTTTCCACATCCCTATGATTGCATCCCAATCAATCAGCAGCACCCATTCCCTAGCCACCTGCCCAGCAAACTATCTTTTTTTTTCTTTTTTTCTTGAGACTCTGTCGCCCAGGCTGTAGTGCAGTGGTGCAATCATGGCTCACAGCAGCTTCAACCTCCCTGGCCCAGCCTCCCAAGTCACTGGGACTACAGGTGTACACCACCACACCTGGCTAATTTTTAAATTTTTTGTAGAGATGGTGTCTTGCTGTGTTGTCCAGGCTGATCTCAAACTCAAGGACTCAAGCAATCCTCCTACCTCAGACTCGAAAAGTGCTGGGATTACAGGTGTAAGCTGCCATGCCCAACCCAAACTATCTTGAAAAAGCCTTCAAATTTGAGAGGAGGCTGATATAAGTAATAATAAGACTTCAGTCTCCTGTTTAACTGGCTCTATGTATATAAAACTCTTTCTCTATTGCAATTCCCCTGTCTTCATAAATTGGCTCTATCTGAGCAGCAGGCAAAATGAACCAATTGGGTGGTTACAACAGTATCAGCATATACAGTAGAATTGTAATATCCATCATATACCAACTGCAAATTAATTTTAAAAGATATATTGTTAAAAGCATATAAGTGATATAAGTAATTTACAGAAGAATAAATTCAATTGAACAATAAATATGAAATTATTTTCAACCCCTCCAGTCATATAGTAAAAGTAAATTAAAACTTTTTTTTTTTTTAGACAGAGTCTCACTCTGTCGCCCAGGGTGGAGTGCAGTGGCGCGATCTCAGCCCACCGAAACCTCTGCCTCCTGGGTTCAAGCGATTCTCCTGCCTCAGCCTCCTGAGTAGCTGGGATTACAGGCGCCCGCCACCATGCCCGGCTAATTTTTGTATTTTTAGTAGAGACGAGGTTCCACCATGTTGGCCAGGCTGGTCTCGAACTCCTGATCTCAAGTGATCCATCAACCTTGGCCTCCCAAAATGCTGGGATTACAGGCATGAGCCACTGCACCCAGCTTAAAACAATGTTTTAACCTCTTGTTGATAAGAGTGTAAACTTATCACCTTTGGGGGAAGTAATTTAGTACCTATTAATATTAAACATTTTCATAACCTTTGATTTAGCATTTCCACTTAAATTAGTGCCTTAGTTAGTTTGGGCTGCTATAACAACACCACAGCCTGGATGGCTTATAGACAACAGAGGTTTATTTTTCACAGTTCTTGGGGCTGGGAAGTTCAGGTATCAAGGCACTGGCAGTTAAGGTGCTTGGTGAAGGTCCTTTTTCTGTTCCCAGTTCACAGATGTCCCACCTTCATTTTCTTTCTTTTCCTTCTTTTTCTTTCTTTCTTTTTCTCTTTCTCTTTCTTTCTTTCTCTCTGTCTTTCTTCCTTCTTTCTTCTTTCTTTCTTTTTTTTTTTTTTTTTAACAGATGAGGGTTTTCTCTGTCACCCAGGTGGCTGGAGTGCAATGGTGTAAGCTTGGCTCACTGCAGCCTCAACCTCCTGGGCTCAACTGATCTTCCCACCTCAGCCGCCCGAGTAGCTGGGACTACAGGTGCATGCCACCAGGCCCAGCTAAATTTTTGTAATTTTGTAGAGACGAGGTCTCATTATGTTGCCCAGGCTGGTCTTGAACTCCTGGGCTGAAGCAGTCCTCCCACCTCGGCCTCCCAGATGCTGGGATTACAGACGTGAGCCACCACACCCGGCCCATCCCACCGCCTTGCTGTGGCAGGGAGAGCAATAGCCTCTCTTCATCTCTTTATAAGGGCACCAATCCCATTATGCCCCCATGACTTTATCCAAACCTCATTATAGCCCAGGCCCCACCTCCAAAGACTATCACATTGGGAATTAGAGAGCTTCAACATACAGTTTGAGGGGACTACAAACATTCCATTCATGGCAACTAGGAATTTATAGAAACACTCCCTCTAGTGTGCAAAAAAGTAAGTACAAGAATTTTTGGGGTTTTTTTGTTTTTTGTTTTGTTTTGTTTTGTTTTGTTTTCTGAGACAGGGTCTTGCTGTCACCCAGGCATGGTACAGTAGCATAATCACAGCTCATTGAAGCCTCAACTTCCCAGGCTCAAGCAATCCTCCCCGCTCAGCTTCCCGAATAGCTAGGACTATAGGCATACACCACCACACCCAGCTAATTTTTTTTTTTTTTTTTTGAGATGGAGTCTCGCTCTGTCACCCAGGCTGGAGTGCAATGGCACGATCTCAGCTCATGGCAACCTCCGCCTCCTGGATTCAAGCAGTTCTCCTGCCTCAGCCTCCTGAGTAGCTGGGACTACAGGCGCATGCCACCACACCCAGCTAATTTTCATACTTTTAGAAGAGACAGGGTTTCACCATGTTGGCCAGGCTGGTCTCGAACTCCTGACCTCGTGATCCACCTGCCTCAGCCTCCCAAAGTGCTGGGATTACAGGTGTGAGCCACCGCGCCCAGCCTAATTTTTGTATTTTTTGTAGAGATAGGGTTTCACCATGTTGCCCAGGCTGGTTTCCAATATCTGGGTTCAAGCAATCTGCCCGCCTCAGCCTCCCAAAGTGCTGGGATTAGAGATGTGAGCCACGGCACCCACCCAAGAATGTTTTTTTGAGGCATTATGTCTACTAGTGAATAATGGGGGGGGGCCGTGGGGGGAGTACCAGAATAGTTAAAGTAGGCTGTGTATATACAATGAAATATCACAGTATCATTTTGTAAAGATCTATATGTATTGACATGGGAAAATGAGCACATCATAAATAAATAATAAAAGTTGCAGAACAATATAAACTGGAAGAAACATTTTTTTCAATCTTCCCCTCCATCCATCTTTGCTGATATATAAACAGGAAAAAGTTGGGGGAGAGAATACAGGAACACGGAACAAACAGTAAACAATGGTTATCTCATAGACGTGATTGGCGGCATTTTTGGTTTTGGTTTTCTTTTTGAGACAGAGTTTCGCTCTCTCACCCAGGCTGGAGTGAAGTGGCACGTTTTTGGCTCCCTGCAACCTCCGCCCCCCAGGTTCAAGCGATTCTCCTGCCTCAGCCTCCTAAGTAGCTGGGATTATAGGCACCTGCCACCATGCCCGGCTAATTTTTGTGTGTGTGTGTTTTTTTCAGTAGAGACGGAGTTTCACTATGTTGGCCAGGCTGGTCTTGAACTCCTGACCTCAGGTGATCTGCCCGCCTCGGCCTCCCAAAGTGCTACGATTACGGGCATGAGCCACTGCACCCTGCCATAGAGGGCATTTTTGCTTTCTGAGTTAGTCAGGGTTCTCCAGAGAAATAGAATATACATACATACGTACATACATACATACTTGCAGAGAGAGAAAGAGAGAGTGTGACTTATTTTAAGGAATTAGTTCACAAAATTGTGGAGGCTTGGTGAGTCCAAAGTCTGATAGGAGAGCCCAGCAGGCTGGAGACACAGGAAAGAGTTGCAGTTCAAGTCCAAAGGTGGTGTGCTGGAAACTTCTGACCAGAACAAAAGAGAGAGGACAGCCTTTTGTTCTAACCAGGTCTTCAACTGATTGGATGAAGCCCACCCTCATTACATTTAAAGTTCACCAATTTAAATGTAAATCTCATCCAAAAACACCTTCACAGAAACATCCAGAATAATGTTTGACTAAATATCTGGACACCATGGCCCAGACAAGTTGACACATAAAATTAAACATCGTAATGAGATCTGCTGCTATCTATGAATTTATGTTTCTAGTGTATTTGTAAGGTACATGGATCATTCCTTTATTTCTCTCTCTATATATATAGATATATATATACTTTTTATAATCATAAATATGTGTATGCATGCATATGTATGTATAAGAAAATATATATACATATAGACATAAAATTATGCATTTGTGCTAGGTACTTGTGATGGTTAATTTTATTTGTCAACTTGGCTAAGCCATGGTATTCAGATATTTGGTCAAACATTGTGGATGGTTTTGTGAGGGTATTTTGGATGTTTCAAATTGGTGCATTTTGAATAAAGCAGACTGCCCTCCACAATGTGAGTGGGCCTCATCCAATCATTCAAAGGCCTAAGACAAAAAGACTGAGGTCCCTGAGGAAGAGGGAATTCTGCCTCCACACCGCCTTTGGACCTGAGCTGTAACATCAACTCTTTGCTGCTGGCCTGCCTGCTCTGCAGATTTTGGATTTGCCAACCCCTATGATAGCATGAAACAGTTCTTTCATCTGATTGGTTCTAACTCTCTGGAACACCCTAACTAATACAGTGCTGTTATAGGTACTGAGAATAGAGTGATCAACAGGGAAGAAAACGTGCTGTCTTGGGGCCTTGCTGGCGGGTGGATGGTAGACACTCAATTGTGTGAGGCTCATTGGCCATAGAGGAACTCATGCAGGAGAAACTCACCTTGCCTAGGTTGAAAGGAGGGGAATCAGGCACATATTCCCCTCTGAGGAATATGTCAGCAGAGACTGGATGTGGCAAGACTACAGGTGGCGGGTAGGTGGGACAGAGTATTCCAGACCAGGGAACAAAAAGGGATAAAAGTCTTGGGGTGGAAAGGACATGTTTGAGAAACAGAAATAAGACCAGGTGCTGGGACCAGGAGTCCTACACTCATCACACTCAGTTACTCATGGGGTGACTTCAGAAGCCCTAAAAGATTTTGTTTCCCAATTTTTTTTTTTTTTTTGACAAGATCTTGCTCTGTTGCCCAGGCTAGAGTGCAGTGGCACGATCATAGCTCACAGCAGCCTCAATCTCTCGGGCTCAAGTGATCCACCCACCTCAGCCTCCTGAGTAGCTGGGACTACAGATGAATGCATCATGCCCAGCCGATTTCTTTTGTTTGTTTGAGATGGAGTCTCGCTCTGTCACCCCGAGTGGAGTGCAGTGGCATAATCTTGGCTCACTGCAACCTCCACTTCCCAAGTTCAAGCTATTCTCCTGCCTCAGCCTCCCTAGTAGCTGGGATTACAGATGCCCACCACCACACCCAGCTAATTTTTGTATTTTGAGTAGGGACGGGGTTTTGCCATGTTGGCCAGGCTGGTCTCGAACTACTGACCTCAAGTGATAACGCCCGCCTCAGCCTCCCAAAATGCTGGGATTACAGGCATGAGCCACTGTGCCTGGCCCAATGCAATTTTAAGATGATTTTATGTATATTGTAGGAGAGAAAAATAGGTAAATATATTAAGAGTATTAAGAGCCAAGGCTTTCGATTGCCCTGATAAAAGATATACAAATACAAAGTCCAAGAAGAGGGAAAAACCTATAATGTACAATTTGAATTGGAAATACCAATATGAATTCATGATTTTTTTTAAACCCTAAATGTGACTTAAAGCGATGACACCTCTGTAGCAACGAGCTCTCCCAGCACTAAAGACCATTCCTCACTAAAACGAATCAATGTTCCTTAGAAAGATGGCTGATTTTGGCCGGGTGCAGTGGCTCACGCCTGTAATCCCAGCACTTTGGGAGGCCGAGGCGGGCAGATCACAAGGTCAGGAGATCGAGACCATCCTGGCGAACACAGTGAGACCCTGTCTCTACTAAAAATACAAAAAAGTAGACAGGCATGGTGGTGGGCACCTGTAGTCCCAGCTACTTGGGAGGCTGAGGCAGGAGAATGGCATGAACCTGGGGACAGAGCTTGCAGTGCGCTGAGATCACGCCACTGCATTCCAGCCTGGGCGACAGAGCAAGACTCGGCCTCAAAAAAAAAAAAAAAAAAAAAAAAAGATGGCTGATTTTGGCCAAGTGCAGTGGCTCATGCCTGTAATCCCAGCAATTTGGGAGGCTAAAGGCAGGCAGATGCAGATCACTTGAGGCCAAGAGTTTGAGACCAGCCTGGCC